>NC_000015.10:22879421-23053147 GCF_000001405.40 Homo sapiens | reverse complement strand
GGAGGTTGTAGTGAGCCAAGACCGTGTCATTACACTCCAGCCTGGGCAATGAGAAAGAAATTCTGTCAAAAAAAAAAAAAAAAGGAAAGAAACTCACTTCACCCATAAAGATACACACAGACTGAAAAGGAAGGGATGAAAATAGATATTCCATGCAAATGGAAACAAAAAAGCAAGAGTCACTGTATTTATATCAGATAAAGTTTCTGATATAAGACGTTTCAAGACAAAACAGTAAAAAAAAAAGACAAAAACGGTTATTATATGAGGATGAAGTGGTTAACTCAGCAAGAGGATATAACAATGGTAAACATATATGGGCCCAACACTGGAGCAGCCAGATGTATAAAGCAAATATTATTACAGCTAAAGAGAGAGATAGTCCTCAGTACCATAATAGCTGGAGACTTCAACAACCTACTTTCAGCACTGGACAGAACTTCCAGGCAGAAAATCAACATAGAAACATCTGACTTAATCTGCGCTAGAGACCAAATGGATCTAACAGATATTTACAGAACATTTCATCTAACAGCTGCAGAATACACATTCTTATTAGCACATGGAACATTCTCCAGAACAGACCATACCTTAGGCCACAAAAAAAGTCTCAGAAAATTTGAAAAAATCAAAATTATATCAGTTGTCTTCTGTGACCACAATAGAATAAAACTAGAAATCAACAACAAGAGGAACTTGGGAAACTATTCAAATACATAGAAATTAAATAACATGCTCCTGAATACCATTGCTCAATGAAGCAACTAAGACAGAAATTTTAAAGTTTCTTGAAACTGTAAAAAATTGAAATACAACGTACCAAAACCTATGAAGTATATCAAAAGCAGTACTAAGAAGGAAGCTTATACTAATAAATGCCTATGTTAGAAGAGTAAAGGCTAGGCACAGTGGCTCATGCCTGTAATCCCAGCACTTCGGGAAGCCAAAGCAGGTGGATTGCTTGAGCTCAGGAGTTTGAGACAAGCCTGAGCAACATGATGAAACCCCGTTTCTACCAAAAATCCAAAAAAAAAAAAAAAAAAAAAAAAAAGCTGAGTGTGGTGGCACATGCCTAGAGTCCCAACTACGCAGGAGGCTGAGGTGGGAGGATGGCATGAGCTTGGGAGGCAGAGGTTGCAGTAAGCCGAGATCACGCCACTACACTCCAGCCTGAGTGACAGAGCCAGACCCTGTCTCAAAAAAAAAAAAAAAAGAGAGAGAGAGAGTAAAAAGACTTCAGACAACCAAATGATGCACCACCTTAAAGAATTAGAAAAGCAATAGCAAATCAAACCTAAAATTAAGAGAAGACAATAAATAATAAAGATCAGAGCAGAAATCAAATTGAAACAAAAAATACAAAAGATCACAAAACAAAAAGTCGGTTTTTGGAAAGATAAACAAAATTGACAAACTCTTTTGACAGACTAAGAAAAAAGAGAAGACTCAAATAAATTAAATCAGAGAGATGACATTACAACTGATATCACTGAAATTCAAAATATCTTTAGAGACTACTATGAGCAACTATTATACATGCCAAAAAATTGGAAAAGGCAGAGGAAATTGATAAATTCCTAGACACATACCACCTACCAGGATTTAAACATGAAGAAATGGAAAGCATGAATACACCAATAACATACAGTGAGATAGGGGCAGTGCTGAAAAGTCTCCCATCAAAGAAAAGCTAAGTACCTCATGGCTTCACTGCTGAATTTGCCAAATATCTAAAGAACAACTAATACCAATTCTACTCAAACTACCCCAAAAAATATAAAAGAAGGAAATACACCTAAACTCATTCTACAAGTCCAGCATTATCCTGATACAAAAACCAGACAAACAAAAAAGAAAACTACAGGCCAATATTTCTGATGAATGTAGATACAAAAATCCTCAGTGAAATACTAGCATCCCAAATTCAAGAACACATTAAAAAGATCATTCATTTTGATCAAGTGGGATGCATCCCCGGGATGCAAAGATGGTTCAGCATATGCAAATCAATAAACGTGGCACAATGCATCAAAAGAATGCAGGACAAAAACCATAAATTATTTCAATAGATGCTTTTAAACATTCAATAAAATTCCACATCCTGTCATGAGAAAAACCCTGAACAAACTGTGTATAGGAAGAACATAATAAATGTCATATAAAATAAACTCACAGCTAGTATTATACTAAATGGGAAAAAAAACCGAAAGCCTTTTCTCTGATCTGGAACAAAACAAGGATACTCATTTTCCCCACTTATTCAACATAGTACTCAAAGTTTTAACCAGAGCAATTAGACAACAGAAAGAAACAAACAGCATGAATAATGGAAAGTCAAATTGTCATTGTTAGTAGATGATGTGACCTTATATTTAAACAAACCTAAAGATTCTTCCAAACAACTGTCAGAATTCATAAATGAATTCAGTAAAGTTCCAGGATACGGCCGGGCGCGGTGGCTCATGCCTGTAATCCCAGCATTTTCGGAGGCTGAGGTGGATGGATCACTAGAGGTAAGGAGTAGAGACCAGCCTTGCCAACATGGCGAAACCCCGTCTCTACTAAAAATTCAAAAATTAGGGTGGCGTGGTGGTACACACCAGGTGTGGTTATGAAGTCCCCCAGCACCTATGGCCAGGTGGGGTTGTGATGGCCTCCAGCACCTCTGGCCAGGTGGGGTTATGAACTCCCCCAGCACCTCTGGCCAGGTGGGGTTATGATGTCCCCGAGCACCACTGGCCAGGTGCGGTTATGATATCCCCCAGCACCTCTGGCCAGGTGCAGTTATGAAGTCCCCCAGCACCTCTGGCCAGGCGCGGTTATGAAGTCCCCCCGGCACCTATGGCCAGGCGTGGTTATGAAGTCCCCCCGGCACCTCTGGCCAGGCGTGGTTATGAAGTCCCCCCGGCACCTCTGGCCAGGTGGGGTTATGATGGCCCCCCCCGGCACCTCCGGCCAGGTGGGGTTATGATGGCCCCCCCGGGACCTCTGGCCAGGTGTGGTTATGAAGTCCCCAAGCACCTCTGGCCAGGTGGGGTTATGATGTCCCCCAGCACCTCTGGCCAGGTGTGGTTATGATGTCCCCCAGCACCTCTGGCCAGGTGGGGTTATGATGTCCCCCAGCACCTCTGGCCAGGTGTGGTTATGAAGTCCGCCCAGCACCTCTGGCCAGGTGTGGTTATGAAGTCCTCCTGGCACCTCTGGACAGGTGTGGTTATGAAGTCCTCCGGGCACCTCTGGCCAGGTGTGTTTATGAAGTCCTCCTGGCACCTCTGGCCAGGTGTGGTTATGATGTCCCCCCGGCACCTCTGCCCAGGTGTGGTTATGATGTCCCACCGGCACCTCTGGCCAGGTGTAGTTATGAAGTCCCCTGGCACCTCTGGCCAGGTGGGGTTATGAAGTCCCACCGGCACCTCTGGCCAGGTGTGGTTATGATGTCCCCCCGGCACCTCTGGCCAGGTGTGGTTATGAAGTCCCCTCCCAGCACCTCTGGCCAGGTGGGGATATAATACCCACCCCCAGCACCTCTGGCCAGGTGTGGTTATGATGTCCCCCCGGCACCTCTGGCCAGGTGTGGTTATGAAGTCCTCCGGGCACCTCTGGCCAGGTGTGGTTATGATGTCCCCCCGGCACCTCTGGCCAGGTGTGGTTATGATGTCCCCCCGGCACCTCTGGCCAGGTGTGGTTATGATGTCCCCCCAGCACCTCTGGCCAGGTGGGGTTATGAAGTACCCCCGGCACCTCTGGCCAGGTAGGGTTATGAAGTCCCACTGGCACCTCTGGCCAGGTGTGGTTATGATGTCCCCCCGGCAAGTCTGGCCAGGTGTGGTTATGAAGTCCCCCCACCAGCACCTCTGGCCAGGTGGGGATATAATACCCACCCCCAGCACCTCTGGCCAGGTGAGGTTATGATGTCCCCGCAGCACCTCTGGCCAGGTGTGGTTATGAAGTCCTCCCGGCACCTCTGGCCAGGTGGGGTTATGAAGTCCCCCCGGCACCTCTGGCCAGGTGACATTTATGAAGTCACCCCCAGCACCTCTGCTCAGGTGGGGTTATGAAGTTCCCCCCGCCCCCCAGCACCTCCGGCCGGGTGGGGTTATTATGGCCCCCCAGCATCTCTGGCCAGGTGGGATTATGATATCCCCTAGCACCTCTGGCCAGGTGAGGTTATGATGTCCCCCCAGCACCTCTGGCCAGGTGGGGTTATGAAATCCCCCGCAGCACCTCTGGCCAGGTGACATTTATGAAGTCACCCCCAGCACCTCTGGCCAGGTGGGGTTAAGAAGTTCCCCCCGCCCCCCAGCACCTCTGGCCAGGTGGGGTTATGATGGCCCCCCAGGACCTCCGGCCAGATTGGGTTATGATGGCCCCACAGCACCTCTGGCCAGGTGGGATTATGATACCCCCCAGCACCTCTGGCCAGGTGGGGTTATAATACACCCCCACAGCACCTCTAGCCAGGTGAGGTTATGATGTCCCCCCAGCACCTCTGGCCAGGTGGGGTTATGAAATCTCCCCCAGCACCTATGGCCAGCTGTGGTTATGAAATCCCCCCCAGCACCTCTGGCCAGGTGACATTTATGAAGTCACCACCAGCACCTCTGGCCAGGTGGGGTTATGAAGTTCCCCCCGCCTCCCAGCACCTCCGGCCAGGTGGGGTTATGATGTCCCCCCAACATCTCTGGCCAGGTGGGATTATGATATCCCCCTAGCACCTCTGGCCAGGTGAGGTTAAGATGTCCCCCCAGCACCTCTGGCCAGGTTAGGTTATGAAATCCCCCCAGCACCTCTGGCCAGGTGACATTTATGAAGTCACCCCCAGCACCTCTGGCCGGGTGGGGTTATGAAGTTCCCCCCGCCCCCCAGCACCTCCGGCCAGCTGGGGTTATGATGGCCCCACAGCACCACTGGCTAGGTGGGGTTATGATGTCCCCCCAGCATCTCTGGCCAGGTGGGATTATGATACCCCCCAGCACCTCTGGCCAGGTGAGGTTATGATATCCCCCCAGCACCTCTGGCCAGGTGGGGTTATGAAATCTCCCCCAGCACCTCTGGCCAGGTGACATTTATGAAGTCACACCCAGCACCTCTGGCCAGGTGGGGTTAAGAAGTTCCCCCCAACCCCCAGCACCTCCGGCCAGCTGGGGTTATGATGGCCCCACAGCACCTCTGGCCAGGTGGGGTTATGATGTCCCCCCAGCATCTCTGGCCAGGTCAGATTATGATACCCCCCAGCACCTCTGGCCAGGTGAGGTTATGATGTCCCCCCAGCACCCCTGGCCAGGTGGGGTTATGAAATCCCCCCAAGCACCTCTGGCCAGGTGACATTTATGAAGTCAACCCCAGCACCTCTGGCCAGGTGGGGTTATGATGGCCCCACAGCACCTCTGGCCAGGTGGGGTTATGATGGCCCCCCAGCATCTCTGGCCAGGTGGGATTATGATACCCCCTACCACCTCTGGCCAGGTGAGGTTATGATGTCCCCCCAGCACCTCTGGCCAGGTGGGGTTATGAAATCTCCCCCAGCACCTATGGCCAGCTGTGGTTATGAAATCCCCCCCAGCACCTCTGGCCAGGTGACATTTATGAAGTCACCACCAGCACCTCTGGCCAGGTGGGGTTATGAATTTCCCCCCGCCTCCCAGCACCTCCGGCCAGGTGGGGTTATGATGTCCCCCCAGCATCTCTGGCCAGGTGGGATTGTGATATCCCCCTAGCGCCTCTGGCCAGGTGAGGTTAAGATGTCCCCCCAGCACCTCTGGCCAGGTTAGGTTATGAAATCCCCCCAGCACCTCTGGCCAGATGACATTTAGGAAGTCACCCCCAGCACCTCTGGCCGGGTGGGGTTATGAAGTTCCCCCCGCCCCCCAGCACCTCCGGCCAGCTGGGGTTATGATGGCCACACAGCACCTCTGGCCAGGTGGGGTTATGATGTCCCCCCAGCATCTCTGGCCAGGTCAGATTATGATACCCCCCAGCACCTCTGGCCAGGTGAGGTTATGATGTCCCCCCAGCACCCCTGGCCAGGTGGGGTTATGAAATCCCCCCCAGCACCTCTGGCCAGGTGACATTTATGAAGTCACCTCCAGCACCTCTGGCCGGGTGGGGTTATGATGGCCCCACAGCACCTCTGGCCAGGTGGAGTTATGATGGCCCCCCAGCATCTCTGGCCAGGTGGGATTATGATACCCCCTAGCACCTCTGGCCAGGTGAGGTTATGATGTCCCCCCAGCACCTCTGGCCAGGTGGGGTTATGAAATCCCCCGAAGCACCTCTGGCCAGGTGACATTTATGAAGTCACCCCCAGCACCTCTGGCCAGGTGGGGTTATGAAGTTCCCCCCGCCCCTCGGCACCTCCGGCCAGGTGGGGTTATGATGTCCCCCCAGCATCTCTGGCCAGGTGGGATTATGATACCCCCCAGCACCTCTGGCCAGGTGAAGTTATGATGTCCCCTCAGCACCTCTGGCCAGGTGGGGTTATGAAGTCCTCCTGGCACCTCTGGCCGGGTGTGGTTATGAAGTCCCCCCCAGCACCTCTGGCCAGGTGGGGTTATGAAATCCCCTCCAGCACCTCTGGCCAGGTGACATTTATGAAGTTACCCCCAGCACCTCTGGCCGGGTGGGGTTACGAAATTCCCCCTGCCCCCAGCACCTCCGGCCAGCTGGGGTTATGATGGCCCCACAGCACCTCTGGCCAGGTGGGGTTATGATGTACCCCCAGCATCTCTGGCCAGGTGGGATTATGATACCCCCCAGCACCTCTGGCCAGGTGAGGTTATGATGTCCCCCAGCACCTCTGGCCAGGTGGGGTTATGAAGTCCTCCCGGCACCTCTGGCCAGGTGTGGTTATGAAGTCCCCCGCAGCACCTCTGGCCAGGTGGGGTTATGAAATCCCCCCCAGCACCTCTGGCCAGGTGACATTTATGAAGTCACCCCCAGCACCTCTGGCCAGGTGGGGTTATGATGTCCCCCCTGGCACCTCTGGCCAGGTGGGGTTATGATGTCCCCCAGCACCTCTGGCCAGGTGTGGTTATGAAGTCCGCCCGGCACCTCTAGCCAGGTGTGGTTATGAAGTCCTCCCGGCACCTCTGGCCAGGTGGGATTATGACTCCCCCAGCACCTCTGGCCAGGTGGGGTTATAATACCCCCCCACAGCACCTCTGGCCAGGTGAGGTTATGATGTCCCCCCAGCACCTCTGGCCAGGTGTGGTTATGAAGTCCTCCTGGCACCTCTGGCCAGGTGTGATTATGAAGTCCCACTAGCACCTCTGGCCAGGTGGGGTTATGAAATCTCCCCCAGCACCTCTGGCCAACTGTGGTTATGAAATCCACCCCCAGCACCTCTGGCCTGGTGACATTTATGAAGTCACCCCCAGCACCTCCGGCCAGGTAGGGTTAGGAAGTTCCCCCCGCCCCCCAGCACCTCCGGCCAGGTGGGGTTATGATGTCCCCCCAGCATCTCTGGCCAGGTGGGATTATGATATCCCTCTAGCACCTCTGGCCAGCTGAGGTTATGATGTCCCCCCAGCACCTCTGGCCAGGTGGGGTTATGAAATCCCCCCAGCACCTCTGGCCAGGTGACATTTATGAAGTCACCCCCAGCACCTCTGGCCAGGTGGGGTTATGAAGTTCCCCCCGCCCCCCAGCACCTCTGGCCAGGTGGGGTTATGATGTCCCCCCAGCATCTCTGGCCAGGTGGGATTATGATACCCCCCAGCACCTCTGGCCAGGTGAAGTTATGATGTCCCCCCAGCACCTCTGGCCAGGTGGGGTTATGAAGTCCTCCCGGCACCTCTGGCCGGGTGTGGTTATGAAATCCCCCCCAGCACCTCTGGCCAGGTGGGGTTATGAAATCCCCTCCAGCACCTCTGGCCAGGTGACATTTATGAAGTCACACCCAGCACCTCTGGCCGGGTGGGGTTATGAAATTCCCCCTGCCCCCAGCACCTCCGGCCAGCTGGGGTTATGATGGCCCCACAGCACCTCTGGCCAGGTGGGGTTATGATGTCCCCCCAGCATCTCTGGCCAGGTGGGATTATAATACCCCCCAGCACCTCTGGCCAGGTGAGGTTATGATGTCCCCCAGCACCTCTGGCCAGGTGTGGTTATGAAGTCCGCCCAGCACCTCTGGCCAGGTGTGGTTATGAAGTCCTCCCGGCACCTCTGGACAGGTGGGGTTATGAAGTCCTCCGGGCACCTCTGGCCAGGTGTGGTTATGAAGTCCTCTGGGCACCTCTGGCCAGGTGTGGTTATGTTGTCCCCCGGCACCTCTGGCCAGGTGTTGTTATGATGTCCCCCCGGCACCTCTGGCCAGGTGTGGTTATGAAGTCCCCCCGGCACCTCTGACCAGGTGGGGTTATGAAGTCCCACAGGCACCTCTGGCCAAGTGTGGTTATGACGTCCCCCCCAGCACCTCTGGCCAGGTGGGGATATAATACCCACCCCCAGCACCTCTGGCCAGGTGAGGTTATGATGTCCCCCCGGCACCTCTGGCCAGGTGTGGTTATGATGTCCCCCCAGCATCTCTGGCCAGGTGGGATTATGATATCCCCCTAGCGCCTCTGGCCAGGTGAGGTTAAGATATCCCCCCAGCACCTCTGGCCAGGTTAGGTTATGAAATCCCCCCAGCACCTCTGGCCAGGTGACATTTATGAAGTCACCCCCAGCACCTCTGGCCGGGTGGGGTTATGAAGTTCCCCCCGCCCCCCAGCACCTCCGGCCAGCTGGGGTTATGATGGCCCCACAGCACCTCTGGCCAAGTGGGGTTATGATGTCCCCCCAGCATCTCTGGCCAGGTCGGATTATGATACCCCCCAGCACCTCTGGCCAGGTGAGGTTATGATGTCCCCCTAGCACCTCTGGCCAGGTGGGGTTATGAAATCCCCCCCAGCACCTCTGGCCAGGTGACATTTATGAAGTCACCCCCAGCACCTCTGGCCAGGTGGGGTTAAGAAGCTCCCCCAGCCCCCAGCACTTCCGGCCAGCTGGGGTTATGATGGCCCCACAGCACCTCTGGCCAGGTGGGGTTATGATGACCCCCCAGCACCTCTGGCCAGGTGAGGTTATGATGTCCCCCCAGCACCCCTGGCCAGGTGGGGTTATGAAATCCCCCCCAGCACCTCTGGCCAGGTGACATTTATGAAGTCACCCCCAGCACCTCTGGCCAGGTGGGGTTATGATGGCCCCACAGCACCGCTGGCCAGGTGGGGTTATGATGGCCCCCCAGCATCTCTGGCCAGGTGTGATTATGATATCCCCTAGCACCTCTGGCCAGGTGAGGTTATGATGTCCCCCCAGCACCTCTGGCCAGGTGGGGTTATGAAATCCCCCGCAGCACCTCTGGCCAGGTGACATTTATGAAGTCACCCCCAGCAACTCTGGCCAGGTGGGGTTATGAAGTTCCCCCCGCCCCCCGGCACCTCCGGCCAGCTGGGGTTATGATGGCCCCACAGCACCTCTGGCCAAGTGGGATTATGACCCCCCCAGCACCTCTGGCCAGGTGGGGTTATAATACCCCCCCACAGCACCTCTGGCCAGGTGAGGTTATGATGTCCCCCCAGCACCTCTGGCCAGGTGTGGTTATGAAGTCCTCCTGGCACCTCTGGCCAGGTGTGATTATGAAGTCCCACTAGCACCTCTGGCCAGGTGGGGTTATGAAATCTCCCCCAGCACCTCTGGCCAGCTGTGGTTATGAAATCCCCCCCAGCACCTCTGGCCTGGTGACATTTATGAAGTCACCCCCAGCACCTCCGGCCAGGTAGGGTTAGGAAGTTCCCCCCGCCCCCCAGCACCTCCGGCCAGGTGGGGTTATGATGTCCCCCCAGCATCTCTGGCCAGGTGGGATTATGATATCCCCCTAGCACCTCTGGCCAGGTGAGGTTATGATGTCCCCCCAGCACCTCTGGCCAGGTTGGGTTATGAAATCCCCCCAGCACCTCTGGCCAGGTGACATTTATGAAGTCACCCCCAGCACCTCTGGCCAGGTGGGGTTATGAAGTTCCCCCCGCCCCCCAGCACCTCTGGCAGGTGGGGTTATGATGTCCCCCCAGCATCTCTGGCCAGGTGGGATTATGATACCCCCCAGCACCTCTGGCCAGGTGAAGTTATGATGTCCCCCCAGCACCTCTGGCCAGGTGGGGTTATGAAGTCCCCCAGGACCTCTGGCCAGGTGGGGTTATGAAGTCCCCCCCAGCACCTCTGGCCAGGTGGGGTTATGAAATCCCCTCCAGCACCTCTGGCCAGGTGACATTTATGAAGTCACCCCTAGCACCTCTGTCCGGGTAGGGTTATGAAATTCCCCCTGCCCCCAGCACCTCCGGCCAGCTGGGGTTATGATGGCCCCACAGCACCTCTGGCCAGGTGGGGTTATGATGTCCCCCCAGCATCTCTGGCCAGGTGGGATTATGATACCCCCCAGCACCTCTGGCCAGGTGAGGTTATGATGTCCCCCAGCACCTCTGGCCAGGTGGGGTTATGAAGTCCTCCCGGCACCTCTGGCCAGGTGTGGTTATGAAGTCCCCCGCAGCACCTCTGGCCAGGTGGGGTTATGAAATCCCCCCCAGCACCTCTGGCCAGGTGACAGTTATGAAGTCACCCCCAGCACCTCTGGCCAGGTGGGGTTATGAAGTTCCCCCCGCCCCCCAGCACCTCCGGCCAAGTGGGGTTATGATGGCCCCAGAGCACCTCTGGCCAGGTGGGATTATGATGTCCCCCAGCACCTCTGGCCAGGTGGGGTTATGATGTCCCCCCTGGCACCTCTGGCCAGGTGGGGTTATGATGTCCCCCAGCACCTCTGGCCAGGTGGGGTTATGAAGTCCCACCGGCACCTCTGGCCAAGTGTGGTTATGACGTCCCCCCCAGCACCTCTGGCCAGGTGGGGATATAATACCCACCCCCAGCACCTCTGGCCAGGTGAGGTTATGATGTCCCCCCGGCACCTCTGGCCAGGTGTGGTTATGATGTCCCCCCGGTACCTCTGGCCAGGTGTGGTTATGAAGTCCCCCCGGCACCTCTGGCCAGGTGGGGTTATGAAGTCCCACCGGCACCTCTGGCCAGGTGTGGTTATGATGCCCCCCCGGCACCTCTGGCCAGGTGTGGTTATGAAGTCCTCCCGGCACCTCTGGCCAGGTGGGGTTATGAAGTCCCCCCGGCACCTCTGGCCAGGTGGGGTTATGAAATCCCCCCCAGCACCTCTCGCCAGGTGACATTTTGAAGTCACCCCCAGCACCTCTGGCCAGGTGGGGTTAAGAAGTTCCCCCCGCCGCCCAGCACCTCTGGCCAGGTGGGGTTATGATGGCCCACCAGGACCTCCTGCCAGCTGGGGTTATGATGGCCCCACAGCACCTCTGTCGAGGTAGGATTATGATACCCCCCAGCACCTCTGGCCAGGTGGGGTTATAATACCCCCCCACAGCACCTCTGGCCAGGTGAGGTTATGATGTCCCCCCAGCACCTCTGGCCAGGTGTGGTTATGAAGTCCTCCTGGCACCTCTGGCCAGGTGTGGTTATGAAGTCCCCCCAGCACCTCTGGCCAGGTGGGGTTATGAAATCTCCCCCAGCACCTATGGCCAGCTGTGGTTATGAAATCCCCCCCAGCACCTCTGGCCAGGTGACATTTATGAAGTCACCACCAGCACCTCTGGCCAGGTGGGGTTATGAAGTTCCCCCCGCCCCCCAGCACCTCCGGCCAGGTGGGGTTATGATGTCCCCCCAGCATCTCTGGCCAGGTGGGATTATGATATCCCCCTAGCACCTCTGGCCAGGTGAGGTTAAGATGTCCCCCCAGCACCTCTGGCCAGGTTGGGTTATGAAATCCCCCCAGCACCTCTGGCCAGGTGACATTTATGAAGTCACCCCCAGCACCTCTGGCCGGGTGGGGTTATGAAGTTCCCCCCGCTCCCCAGCACCTCCGGCCAGCTGGGGTTATGATGGCCCCACAGCACCTCTGGCCAAGTGGGGTTATGATGTCCCCCCAGCATCTCTGGCCAGGTGGGATTATGATACCCCCCAGCACCTCTGGCCAGGTGAGGTTATGATGTCCCCCCAGCACCTCTGGCCAGGTGGGGTTATGAAATCCCCCCCAGCACCTCTGGCCAGGTGACATTTATGAAGTCACCCCCAGCACCTCTGGCCAGGTGGGGTTAAGAAGTTCCCCCCGCCCCCCAGCACCTCCGGCCAGCTGGGGTTATGATGGCCCCACAACACCTCTGGCCAGGTGGGGTTATGATGTCCCCCCAGCATCTCTGGCCAGGTCAGATTATGATACCCCCCAGCACCTCTGGCCAGGTGAGGTTATGATGTCCCCCCAGCACCCCTGGTCAGGTGGGGTTATGAAATCCCCCCCAGCACCTCTGGCCAGGTGACATTTATGAAGTCACCCCCAGCACCTCTGGCCAGGTGGGGTTACGAAGTTCCCCCCGCCCCCCAGCACCTCCGGCCAGGTGGGGTTATGATGGCCCCACAGCACCTCTGGCCAGGTGGGGTTATGATGGCCCCCCAGCATCTCTGGCCAGGTGGGATTATGATACCCCCTAGCACCTCTGGCCAGGTGAGGTTATGATGTCCCCCCAGCACCTCTGGCCAGGTGGGGTTATGAAGTTCCCCCCGCCCCCCGGCACCTCCGGCCAGCTGGGGTTATGATGTCCCCCCAGAATCTCTGGCCAGGTGGGATTATGATATCCCCCTAGCACCTCTGGCCAGGTGAGGTTAAGATGTCCCCCCAGCACCTCTGGCCAGGTTGGGTTATGATGGCCCCACAGCACCTCTGGCCAGGTGGGATTATGATACCCCCTAGCACCTCTGAGCAGGTGAGGTTATGATGTCCCCCCAGCACCTCTGTCCAGGTGTGGTTATGAAGTCCTCCCGGCACCTCTGGCTAGGTGTGGTTATGAAGTCCCCCCAGCACCTCTGGCTAGGTGGGGTTATGAAATCTCCCCCACCACCTCTGGCCAGGTGACATTTATGAAGTTCCCCCCCTCAGCACCTCTGGCCAGGTGGGGTCATGAAGTCCCCCAAGCCGCCCCTGAGGAACAGGCGAGGCAAGGGCCAGCAGGCACTACTAGCGGGTCGGGACAGCTGCTTCGCTGATGCTGGTTGTGTAGCATGGATGTGTGTAGCGTGACTGTGTTGTGTGGATGGGGCACGGAAATCCGCAGAGACCATCACTGGAGGGAGAAGCTGCAGGGCCGGGAGGGTTCAGCAGGTAAGCAGTTCAGGGTTCCTGGAAAGGCGGGTCCCAATGCATTTGCTGACCGGGCACCTAACGGGCTGCTCTCAAAATCACTGACTGTCACCGAGGCCGGCCAGAGACCCTTATGTATCTGATTCACGATGACACCAGCTAACTCTGAGTACAGTAGAAAACGTACCGTCGGGCAACCAGAAAATGCGCACTCCAGTCCCCACCACGGGACAGCGCCAGGCAGTACCCTCCACAGCCGGAGCTCGAACTGTCGCGAGAATAGCGGTCGGCTTGGAAGTCGCCCGGCGCGGGAGCGCGAACTCTCGCGAGAATGCCGCCAGCTCCGGAGGCGACTGCGGCAGGAGCCCGAGCTCTCGCGCGACAGGCACCAATTCGTTAGACGCGCGCTGCAGGAGCGCGGAACATGGCGCGGCACGGGCCACCGTGGAGTCGGTTGGACGCGCAGCAGGAGCGCGACGTGCGGGAGCTCGTCCGGGGTGTCGCCGGCCTCCAGGACGAGGCAGACCCCAACTTCCAGCTCGCCCTAAACTTCGCCTGGTCCAACTTCAGGTGTGGGGCACGGCGCGCGGGCGGGTTCCCGGCCACAGCCCGGAGCCCGCGCGTGGGTCCCGCACAGCCCGGGGTCGGGGCGCGCTGGGGCAGGGCATGGGGCGGAGGCGGGCGCGGCCTCAGGGAGCCTTCGCAGGCCCTGCCACCGCCTGCTCCCCGCCGGCCAGCGCTCTCGGCGCGGTGCCCTGCGCACCACAGGGCGTGTTACCCGGGACGCGTCCTGATCGTCACGGGGAAAGCGTGAACTGGGTTTCTTGCCGGCCGGCGCGCGCGCCTGCAACCCCAGCGCTCTGGGAGGCCCAGGCGGGACTCCAGGCCAGCTTGGGCAACGTAGCAACTCCATGTTTATAATTTTTTTTTTTTTTAAATTAAAGAGATTGTATTCTCACTGACTCCTGCTCCCTGGTCAGCCCAGTGTAAGATCTCTCACCCTGCTCTCCTTTTTCCAAAACGCGTGTCATGACACTGATTTAACCTGTCATTACTGTCTCCTCCACTTCCACTCCAGCTAGAATGCTGCATCTCTGCACAGCTCCTGGCACGTAGCACGCTGAGTCACCTAATACAATTTCTAATGCAGTTTCTCTTGTAACTAATTTTTAAAGACTTACAGAATTTAGATATTTACGTAAAGTGAGATCTCCTATTTTTCTTTATGGGAGATGTAAATTAATACTTTTAGAGTCATTACCCATAATGAAATTATTACTAAAAAAATGTTAATGTTAATATTCTACCTGTTTAATTTCAGTAAAAATCTTCTTGAATAATGAACAGTTTTTCAAAATCCGTAATCTTAGTTACCTTAATGATCATAGCCATAAAGTGTCTAGTTGGCTTATAATAGGAATACGGGGCTTTCAGATTCTTTTAAACCATGCCAAGTTTCTGAAGTAATAAACTGAATTCTTAAGTGTAACTTATAAAAATAAACAATGTGTGAAATAGGTTATACAATACAGAAACTTAAATGCTGAAATCCAAGTTATTTTTCTACTAATATTTCTAAATGACAGTAGGCAGATTGTCATCATTTTAGAGCTGGGAGAGACGTTGGAGGTTACTATTTTCATTCACAGATTTCAGGAACTAAATTATAATAGGTAAAGTGGTGTTCCATTCACCCATTTACTGGCCTAGAATCATGTGTTTTTCAGTAGTGTAATTTTATTTAAGTACAGATTGCTCGCTTTGATACTAAAAAATGGAAAACATTTTTTGCATAGGCTATGCTATGTACATATACATTAGTTGCATAGGCTGTGCTGTAATTTTATGATGCTTTAAACCATCAGAAAAATGAATAGTTCATGTTTACATTCTTGAAAATTGTGGACTGGGCGCGGTGGCTCACGCCTGTAATCCCAGCACTTTAGGAGGCCGAGGTGGGTGGATCACGAGGTCAGGAGATCGAGACTATCCTGGCTAACACGGTGAAACCCGGTCTCTACTAAAAGTACAAAAAATTAGCCGGGCGTGGTGGCAGGCGCCTGTAGTCCCAGCTACTTGGGAGGCTGAGGCAGGAGAATGGCGCGAACCCAGGAGGCGGAGCTTGCACTGAGCAAGCTCACTTTTCTCTAACTGAAAAGTAGCATCTCCTTCTATTATGAATGAAGGCAGCAAACCATAGCAGTATTAGCCTACCTATGACTTTATCACCAGTAGAAATCGCATACTGTTTTCACATCAGAGTTGTAGATATTTGTAAATGTTGTTTACTGTTACTTTAATGGTAGTTAATTGGACCTACTGCTAAATCTTGTTATTTAATACTTTCATAAATAACATTTCTTGCCATATCTTAAACTTCTTTAAATATTTGACAACTGTATCTCAGTATAATGGGATTCCTTTGTATTTATTTTTTGGCTTTAAAAATGTTATTCAGAGAAGGGGTCCTTAGGCTTCACCGGGCCTCACTATGGCATAAAAAGGTTGGGACCACCTGATGTAGAATGTGTTCAGCTGGACTTAGGTACAGGGGCTTATGGGAAGACAGAGGAGCCAGAGGACAAGGTTGGGAGGGTCAGGAAGAACCTGTGTGCTGGAGAAAGGATGCTTGCACAGTCTCGGACACGGTGATTATTTGCCTGCCTGATGGTGGAGGTAACGGAGGACAAGGTACACTCCATTCTGGAAATGTGTAGCTGAGTACAGAGCATATGGGGGATATGGAGGGCCATGAGATGAGTTCACTTACCTGTGTGACAGAGTTGGCATAAGAATTGCATTTTGTCTTTAATAGATTTCATCGTTTCTTGGATGTCAACAGCCACAAAATAGAAAAAACAATCGAAGGGTAAGTCAGTGTGTATATATACGCATCCAGAAATATATGTATTTTCTTATAGATCTTTTTAAGATAGCTTTATAATCTTTTCTTATATTTTAGAATTTATGAAAAATTTGTCATTCATTCTGATCTAAGCAAAGCTGCTAGTTGGAAGAGATTAACGGAGGAATTTCTAAATGCACCACTTCCCAGTATAAAGGAAATAAAGGTATGCCTTCAATTATGAGATCTCCACTGTGTATTTTACTGTTTCCTATCTGATTATCGTCAATTTGTTTCAGTTACTGTTTAAACATTCTATTTTAGTATTATCTACTGGCTAACGGGATCTCTTGGAAATTTACTTAAATATTGCCATCAAACCAGATATGCCTCAGTTTGTGATGAAAGAAAGAGCTTGTTTTTAATCATTTTTTCACCTCAGTCCTACTAAGGAAAGAGAGATCAGAGATTGATACAAATAGTAGCATTGTTTGGGTATCTCAAAACTTTCAAATGGTTTCTCAGCACTTGGCAGTGACTGTCTGTAGATGCTTACTAGATGCCTGGTATACTTTCATATTGTTTGGGGGATTCCCCAAGACCACCTTTTGGCATAATGATTTGCTCAAAGGATTCACAGAACTTAAAAAAAAAAAGCTGTTATCCTCACTGTTAATAGTTTATTACAGTGAAAGGATACAGATTAAAATCACCAAAGGGAAAAGGTGCTTAGAGCAAAGTCTAGGAGAAGCTAGGCACGCATGTCCAAATGTTCCTTCCTAGTGGAGTCACCTGGGGATGCAGTTAATTCTCTCAGTAACAGTATATGACAACATGTGCAAAGTATTACCCTCCACTCCCCCCAGGGCCACTCGGCTGAGCCTTGGTGACCAGCATTTTTATTGGGGGTGGGTCACATAAGCAAGCAGAGCCCACATGGCTGACCTTAGCTGCTGAGTCTGTAGCCCCCTAGAGGTCAAACCAAGGATGGCAAGCGTATGGAAACAGCTGTGGGTTCCCTGAACACGGTGGGACCACATTCCCTAGCTCTGCTGTGACACATCTTGTGCCTACATAGTTCTTTCCCTTTCTCCTGCCTGAGGAAGCTCACGTTTTAATATTAAACTCAGGCACTGTCTCCACACATGCTATGTATTTCAATTCTTTATAGTTCCTTTCTTGTCTCCCCCTTTAAAAGGCACATTTTACAGGCATAGGGCTCTGTGTCTGATTTGTTCCCGGACACCTAGAGCACAGTGGACAGTGCATGTTTGTTGAGGGAATCAGTAAGGCTGTGCAGTCTTGTCTGCTTCACTATCCCCTCTGTGTCCACAGCCCCCACCCACTTACACAAGGTGGGATTGGTTATCCTTTTCTCTTGCTGTGTGGCATCTTGGATGTGTTTGTTATGGCAGAGGTCCCCAACCCCCACATGGTGGACGAGTACCAATATGTGCCTGCTAGGAACAGGGCTCCATGGCAGGAGGTGCAGTGGGGTGAGTGAGGATGACTGCCTGAGCTCCACCTCCTGTCAGATCAGCGGTGGCATTAGATTCTCATAGGAGAGCAAACCCCATTGTGAACTGCACATTTGAGGGATCTAGGTTGCATGCTCCTTATGACAATCTAATGCCTAATGATCTGAGGTGGAACAGTTTCATCCTTGAAACCAACCCCCACCCAACAGTCCATGGAAAAATTGTCTTCCACAAAACCAGTCCCTGGTGCCAAAACGGTTGGGGATTGCTGTGTGGTGTAGCAATAACTTCACACTTTTTTTCTTTTTTTTTTTTAAGACTGAGTGTCACTTTGTCACCCAGGCTTGGAGTGCAGTGGTGCAGTCTCGACTCATTGCAACCCCCACTTCCCAGATTCAAGTGATTCTCCTGCCTCAGCCTCCCGAGTAGCTGGGATTACAGGTGCCCACCACCATGCCCAGCTAATTTTTTGTATTTTTAGTAGAGACAGGGTTTCACCATGTTGGCCAGGCTGGTCCCGAACTCTTGACCTCAAGCAATCCACCTGCCTTGGCCTCCCAAAGTGCTGGGATTACAGGCATGAGCCACCATGCCGAGCTTCTTTATTATCCTTTTAATGTCTGTGGGATCAGTAGTGATGACCCCTCTTTATTTTCTGATTTTAGTAATGTATGTATACTCTCTTTTTTTTTGTGGTTAGTATGTCTAGAGATTTATTAATGTTATTAATCTCTTCAGCGAATCAGTTTTTGGTTTTGCCATTTTTATTATTGTTCCTGTTTTCAATGTCTTTTTGTTTGTTTGTTTTTTTGTTTTTTGAGACGGAATCTTGCTCTGTTGCCCAGGCTGGAATGCAATGGTGCAATCTCAGCTCACTGCAGCCTCAGCCTCCCAAGTAACTGGGATTACAAGCGTACACCACCCCGCCCGGCTAATTTTTGTATTTTTAGTAGAGATGAGGTTTCGCCATGTTGGCCAGGGTAGTGTCGAACTCCTGACCTCAAGTGATCTGCCCACCTTGGTTCCAAAAGTGCTGGGATTACAGGCGTGAGCCACCCCGGCCTGCTCTGTTGATATATTTTCAAGCTCATGCCAGTCTACTGGGTGAGCCCATCAAAAGCATTCTTCATTTCTGACACTTTATTTTTCATTGGAACACTTCGATTCTTTGAGTTTCCATCTCACCACTTATATTTCTGATCTGTTCTTCCTTGTTATCCACATTTTTCATTAGCACTCTTAGCATATTAATCATAGTTGTTTTCAATTCCCGGGCTGATAATTCCAACATCCCTGCCATATTTGAGTCTGGTTTGGATGCTTGCTCTGTCTCTTCTGACATACTGTCAGGTGGCCAGTGTTGTCTACCTGGACACCTGAGCCCAGGACTCTGGGGCTTTTATTGGGGGCTTATCTCTTAGGCATAGGACCTGTGTGACTGACCACAATTACTGAAGTTCCAGAGCCTTCAAAGGAAAGCAGGTGTTCACCTTCAGTCACACTGTTTGCGCAAACTATCTAAACAGACTAGTACAACATGGTTCAAGATCTGAGCATACAGAACACATTTGCCAGTTCAGATATTTCAAGAGCTCAGTTACCACAAGCTGGCCAAGGCTTATTCATGAAAATAAGCCCTTTTGGGGGATGCTGAAGGCTTTGGCAATTCAGGCTTGCTGAGTTAATGCATTCCCACACAGCTAATATCCCAATTTAAAAATCAATCATATAAATAAGAAAAGACTGGCAATCAAATAGAAACTTGAACAGAGGAGAGTAATACCCAATAAAGGAAAATCAGTAATTTTAAGCTTATGGAAAAGTGCCTACCATTTCATAAGATAAGATAAATGCAAATTAAAGCAACACTGAGAGAATGTTTTTCACCGATCTGATTAATAAAAGGTGTGGGAAACAGGTAATTCTATGCGTATGTATATTTGTATTACCTGTATGGAATATATTTTGGCATTATTTCTCAAAATTCCAAATGCAAACACTCTTTGACTTAGTGTTTCACTTTTTAGGAATTTATTATACAGATAAACTCTTATAATTATGAAACAACAGCCAAGTGTGGTGGCCCATGCCTGTAATCCCAGTACTTTGGGAGGCCAAGGTGGGCGGATCATGAGGTCAGGAGTTGGAGACCATCCTGGCCAACATGGTGAAACCCCATCTCTACTAAAAATACAAAAGTTACCCGGGCGTGGTGGTGCGTACCTGTAATCCCAGCTACTCGGGAGGCTGAGACAGGAGAATCACTTGAACCAGGGGAGGCTGAGGTTGCGGTGAGCTGAGATTGCACTATTGCACTCCAGCCTGGGCGACAGAGCGAAAATCCATCTCGGGGGGAAAAAAAATATGAAACAACATAAGTTTGTGATAGCAAAAGATTGGGAAAAAATCTAAATTTCATTAATAGGGGACTGGTTAAATAAAATATGATACATCTTAGTTAAACTATCAGGCATGTTTAACCTTCATGATACATATTGCCACAGGAGAATAATTTTTAACCATAATGTTATACTCTAAAGACATTTCCGTCGTTTTAGAAATAAAAAGCTGTCATCCACTCAGATCTTATACTTGTTAGAAATATAGAACTCAGATTTCAGATGGCTTTGAGGTTCCTTATGTGTATGCATTTGAGCTATGAAGAAGTTTGAAGGTTAAGGATTATTTAGGTATAACTCATGTTTTCTCAAACCAGGAAAAAAATTGGGGACATAACTGTCATGGAGTTATCTTTACTCAATCTGGTGTAGAAAGCATTTCCCAACCTCAGAGATTTATGTTCTTTTTTTTGTTTTAAAGACAGATGCACATTATTCCATACTGTCACTTCTTCTGTGTCTGTCAGACTCTCCTTCAAACAGCAGTTATGTGGAGACACCAAGAAATAAAGAAGTGGGTATGTTACTAGATTCCTTAACATATGAGAAGTAAAAGAGAAATTGTTTGATTACTTAGTTGCTAAACACTGAGTTTTATTGAAACTTCTAAAAATCTGTGAAACTAAAGTATTTCTATTGCTTTAGATGCTATCACAATTGTAAAATTTTATTTAAAATGCTGTCAGCCCTCTATATTCTCAGGTTCCAGACCCACAGATTCAATCAACTACAGATCAAAAATATTCAAAATAAATAAATAATAATACAACAGTCTAAAATAATACAATCTTTTAAAAAACTATTTACATAGCATTTACATGATATTAGGTATTATAAGTAATCTAGAGATTATTTAAAGTATACAGCAGGATGTATTTAGGTTATGTGCACATACTACACCATTTTCTGTCAGCCTTGAGCATTGCGGAGGGTGGTGTACCTCCTGGAACCAATTCCCCTCAGATATTGAGGGATGACTGTATTCGTTCTAACTTTACAAACTACCTTCAGCTGTAGAAAGAGAACACTCACCTTTGAGAATGAGTTAATTAAAATGTAAAATGTTTTAGGATATCAATTTATTAAATGTTTCAATATTTTTAAATTTTTATTTCCTGAGTATTTTGAGTCTTGTTAGTCTTTTTTCCTTAGTTTTGAGGTTTTTTTTCAAAGATAGATATAATAAAGCCAATGAAGTTCTTCTGTTACATTTTAGAAAAGAAAGATGATTTCGACTGGGGAAAATACTTGATGGAAGATGAAGAAATGGACATTGGTCCGTACATGGACACACCAGTAAGTGGTAGTAGTTTTGCTATTGAAAATTGAAATACACGCCAGGTGATATAGATGATTTTCATGGGTCTTTCCACCCTAGGTCAACTTAGCTAAAACAGGAACACTCTTCACTAAGCTAGAGTCATTTATTATGGAAGACTGATTAGGATTTCGCACCAAATCATTAGTGGTAAGAAGTTAAAAGGGGCCGGGCATGGTGGCTCACATCTGTAATCTCCTGCTCACTTTCGAGAGGCAGGAGGATTGCTTGAGCCTAGGAATTTGAGACCAGCCTGGGCAACATAGCGAGATCCTGTGTCTATTTTTAAAAAATAAATTCTAAAAAAGTTGTCTGGGCTTGGTGGCTCACAACTGTAATCCCAGCATTGTGGGAGGCTGAGGTAGGCGGATCACTTGAGGCCAGAGGAGTTCGAGAGCAGCCTGGGCAACATAGTGAAACCCCGTCAACTAAGAATACAAAAAATTAGCTGGGTGTGGTGGTACACGCCTGTAATCCCAGCTACTCAGGAGGCTCAGGCACGAGAATCTCTTGAACACAGGAGGTGGAGGTTGCAATGAGCTGAGATCGTGCTATTGCACTCCAACCTGGATGACAAAGCGAGAGACTCTGTCTCAAAAAAAAAAAAAGAAGTTAAAAGGGGTGAGTACAAGTATCCCTTAAGGACCTGTGATCTTGGGACTTTTTGCCACAAAAAATAATTCCATTCCTTATTATTTCAACATTATAGAAAAAAAGAAAAAGTAGTAATCATATTTCCATTCCTATAATAGGCACTTCCAAGAGATTTAGGAAAAAAAAATTTGTTTTTCTGTTCCATGTTGCTTCAAAGTTTTTGCTTTTCTTCAAAGTTTTCTTAGTCTTTTAATGTAAATAGCTTTAAGTGTTATACTCTGTAAAGCTAAAGTGTATCTCTTTTTTAAATCAGAATTGGTCTGAAGAAAGTGAAGAGGAAAATGATCAACAGCCCTTAAGCAGAGAGGACTCTGGAATTCAGGTAGACAGGACACCGTTAGAAGAACAAGATCAAAACAGAAAACTGGATCCTTGTATCAGTTGGAAAGGTATTATGTGTTATGAGGTGCTCGCATTTTCTAATAGACAAATTCCCTAGAAGGAAAGGCAAACTTTGAGATCAGTTCCATGTAATCAAGGTATTGGCTAAGCTCTACCATCCTTATAAAACCAATTTTTAAAACCATTAGTAATGTTTTCTATGATGCTTAAGTAGTAGTACTATAGAATTAATGTTGAATTCATACATGTAGAGTGTAATTTTGTAATTTTTTTCCTATACTTCTGAGAACTTTCTCAGCTGTAAATGTTTCCTTTTTTTTTTTTTTTTTTAATTGGAGAAGGACTGATTTTGCTAAGATTGTGCCACTGCACTCCAGCTCTGGCAACAGAGCGAGACCCTGTCTCAAAAAAAAATTAAAATAAAAAAGTATAAGGGAGGATATGCATAGGTTATATGCAAATACTATGCCATTTTATATCAGGGACTTGAGCACCTGCAGATTTTGGCGTCTGCAGCATTCCTGCAACCAGTCCCCATTGGATACTGAGGGACAGCTGCATTTATTCCGGACTTTCTAATCTGTGCACTTGGTGTCAGTGTGACCCAGAAACAGACAGACTTTTTTATTTGTGTGGCTTTGTAGTATTATGTCTTAATACATAGATGGCAAGTTTCCTTTCAGCTACTTGGGAGGCTGAGGCAGGAAAATCACTTGGCTCCTTTTCTTTTTTTTTGGAGACAAGGGTCTCACTCTGTTTCCCAGGCTAGAGTGCAGTGGCACAATCTTAGCTCACTGCAACCTCTGCCTCCTGGCCTCAAGCGATCCTCCCACCTCAGCCTCCTGAGTAGCTGGAACTACAGGTGAGTGCCACCATACCCAGTTAATTTTTGTATTTTTTGTAGACACAGGGTTTCACCATGTTGCCCAGGCTAGTCTCAAACTCCTAGACTCAAGCAATTACTCCGCCTCTGCGTCCCAAAGTGCTGGGATTACAGATGTGAGCCACCATGCCCAGCCCACTTTGCTCTTCCCCCCCACCCCCTTTTTTTGAGACGGAGTCTCACTCTGTCGCCCAGGCTATGGTACAGTAGCATGATCTCACCTCACTGCAAACTCCATCTCCCAGGTTCAAACAATTCTCCTGCCTCAGTTTCCCGAGTAGCTGGGGTTACAGGCGTGTACCACACTCAGCTAATTTTTGTATTTTTAGTAGAGACAGGGTTTCACCATGTTGGCCAGGCTGGTCTCAAATTCCTGACCTCAACTCGTCCACCTGCCTCTGCCTCCCAACGTGCGGGGATTACAGATGTGAATCACTGCTCTTTTTCAAAATTGGCTTAGCTATTTGTGAACTTTTATTCTTCTATAGACATTTTGGAAGCAGGGTGGTAAACTTTAAAGAAAAAAAAGGCCAGGTGCAGTGGCTTACGCCTGTAATCGCAGCACTTTGGGAGGCCGAGCTGGGTGGATCACTTGAGGTCAGGAGTTCAAGACCAGCCTGACCAACATGGTGAAACCCCACGTCTACTAAAAATACAAAATTAGCTGGGCATAGTGGCGCATGCCTGTAATCCCAGCTACCTGGGAGGCTGAAGCAGAAGAATCGCTTGAACCCAGCAGGTAGAGGTTGCAGAGAGCCAAGATCACACCATTGCACTCCAGCCTGGGCAACAAGAGCAAAACTTTATCTCAAAAAAAATAAATAAATAAAAAATAATCCAGCTGGAGTTTTTATTGGGATTGCAGAGAATTTATAGATCTAATTTGGGGAGGCTTGATTGCCTTAACATAATAATAGCTACATTTATCGTAATTTTTTATCTTTTACTAGAGTTTGGAAATTTTTTTTAAACATCTTGAGTGTTCATTTGTTAATTTCTACATATGTTATAGTTTTTATTTTTGTGAATGTTGCCTCTTTTGTTTATTCCTGATGTAGAAGAAATAATATTGCTTTCTGTAAGTTGTCCGTATATGCAGCATTTTTACTGAATTCTCATAATAGTTTGTTGATTCATTTGGTTTCTTATATAGATGATTAGTATCATCTGCGAATATTGATGGTTTTATTCTTCCTGCTAGTTCTTATGCCTGTATCTTCTCTGTGACATGATCAAATCTCTTTTCTGGCCCAGCAGCCCAACCCTCTAGTCCGTAGCAGAAGCAACAGCTCATGGGAGTGGGCTTCCTGGATGACTAGGTCTCATCCTAAGGGGGGTTATACCTGAAACTCCTCCGTTAAGTGTGATGGTTGTTTGGTATCAGTTCAGGGTATGTGGCCTTTATCAAATTAAGACAATTTCCTTCTATTACTTTTTTTTTCTAGAAGTCTTTAATTATGAATAAATGTTGAATTTTTATTAAATGCTACTATTTATCCGTGAGATAATCTCATAACTTTTCTCTTTTATCCTAATAATGCATCGATAGATTTTCTGATGTTGAATTATCCTTGAATTCTTCACCTAAACTTGCTTGATCATGTTATTTTTTAGTACATTTTTAGATCGGATTCAATTTTGGATTTGCTTTTTTTTTTTTTTTTTTTTTAAGACCGGGCCCTGCTCTGTCACCCAGGCTGGAGTGCAGTAGCGTGATCACAGCTCACTCCAGCCTCAACCTCCTGGGCTCAAAGTATCCTCCCACCTCAGCCTCCTAAGAAGCTGGGGCTTCCAGTGCATGCCACCACACCCAGCTAAGTTTGTTACTTTTTTGTAGAGATGAGGTCTCACTATGTTTGAGACCAGCCCAGGCTGGGATTGCAGGTGTGAGCCACCGAGCCCAACAGGTTAGCTCTTTTTTAATGTAGGATTTTTCATCTTTATTCTTTGATGAATTACATGTATCCTGTCTTTGTCTAGTTTAAAGCATCACTGTTACATTAGCCTCATAAAATGTTAGGTGGCTTTCTCTTTTTCTGCTTTTTCAAACAACTTGTATAAGATAGAGGTTATCTAATCCTTCAAAATTTAGCACCAGTCCTGAGACTTCCGTAGTGGTTGGGAAGGTCTTCAGTTACCATTTCAGTTTCCTTAATGGTTACTGGACAATTAACATATACCATTTATATCTTTTTATGTATGTGGCAATTTTTTTTTTTTTTACTTTCTAGTCAGTTACATTTAATTAAATTTAGTATGCGTTTCTATATGTGTGGTTTTATTTTATTTTACTTTGTTTTTTGAGATAGGGTCTTACTGTGTCACCCAGGCTGGAGCGTAGTGGCATGATCTCAGATCACTGCAGCCTCAACCTCTTGGCTCAACCAGTCCCCTCTCGTGTCAGCCTCCCGAGAACAAGCACATGCCACCATCCCTGGCTAATTTTTTTGTATTTTTTGTGGAGATGGGGGGTCATACTTTGTTGCCCAGGCTGGTCTTGAACTCCTGGATTCAAGTGGTCATCCCACCCTGGCTTCCCAAAGGGCTGGGATTATATGTGTGAGCCATAGAACCCAGCAGATATATGTGGTTTAAAATAATCATATATACATAAATGTTAGGTAGCTGTTATTTTTAAAAAGCCATTTTCAACTATACGTTTGAATGGAGCTGTAAGTCCAGGTATTGTGACCCAGTATTTTGTTGTTGTTAACTCAAACTGATTACATTTCTTTCAAGCAGATGAGCCAGATGACCGAAGCTGGCTGGAACATCATGTGGTCCATCAGTACTGGACAGCCAGGCCCTCCCAGTTTCCTCATAGTTTACATTTGCACTCTAATTTAGCTGCTGTCTGGTAAGAAGCTAAAGTTTTCATTTAATGTGATGATAGAAGAAACTTTGATGTTTAAACGTTTGGCTTTGATTTGTGACTTAAGTTCTTCCCTGAAATTTAAACTTGTTTTTGTTTTGACAATTCTTTTTTTTTTGGAGACAGATTCTCACTCTTCGTTGCCCAGACTGCAGTGCAGTGGTCAGATCTCAGCTCACTGCAGTCTAGACCTCACTCAACTAATTTTTTATTTTTTATTTTATTTTACTTTTTTTTGCAGGGGGAGACAAAGTCTCGCTCTGTCACCCTGGCTGGAGTGCAGTGGCGTAATCATGGCTCACTGTAACATCTGCCTCCCGGGTTCCAGCAATTGTCGTCCTTCAGCCTCCCAAGTAGCTGAGATTATAGGTGCATGCCACCATGCCCAGCTAATTTTTATATTTTTAGCGGAGATGGGGTTTTACCATGTTGGCCAGGCTGGTCTTGAACTCCTGTCCTCAAGTGATCCACCTGCCTCGGCCTCCCAAAGTGCTGGAATTACAGGCGTGAGCCAGCACACCTGGCTGGTGTTGAAAATTTTAGTTGAATAGTTTTTAATTATTTGTTATTGAAAATCATTAAATTATAGTATTATTTAATTATAGTCTCTGTTTCCATTTTTTGTTGTTAATTTCAGTGTAAATGGATTGGTATATATTAGGGCATTATTTGATTTCTGTTTTGGTATACTTACTGCAAAAATACACATCTTGTTTTCCAGAAAACAACATTACATAGTTGTAAACATTTGCCTAAATCAGCAATAAACGTAACAATTGTAATTGTTCTGAAAGTGTTTCTCAGAGTATTCTGATTGACATGAAAATATAGGGGGCATTTAAGCCATTTATTATGTATACTTGTTAGTTGATTGCTACTTAAGTTAGCACTAAATTGCAGATATTCTTTGAGATAAGTTATTTACTTACTTAGAAACCTTTCTATTGACATTTATGTTTGCTGTCTCATAGGGACCAACACTTGTACAGCAGTGATCCATTGTATGTTCCAGATGACAGGGTTTTGGTTACTGAGACTCAGGTTATTCGGGAAACCCTATGGTAAGAAATGTTCATTTAATTAATAGTCTTTATGAGACTTGATTACTGAGAAGCAAAAACTTTTATTAAAGGAAACTTTTCAAGCATTTTCACATGCAAACTAGAAAAGGTCCATTAGGTGTGAAGTTCGGACCAGATTTGACTGTGGAGATTGAGAGAGTTTGATATAATTACTTCATTTTCATTTTAAATAATTTAGCATATGATTTACTTAGGTTAGCCCATCTCTTCTTTAACACCTGAGTTCAAAGCAAGATTTGCTACTGATTTTTTTTTTTTTTTTTTGAGACGGAGTCTCACTCTGTTGCTCAGGCTGGAGTGCAGTAGCTCTATCTCAGCTCACTGCAAGCTTCACCTCCTGGGTTCACGCCATTCTCCTGCCTCAGCCTCCCGAGTAGCTGGGACTACAGGAACCCACCACCAAGCCCGGCTAATTTTTACTTTTTTAGTAGAGACGGGGTTTCACCATGTTAGCCAGGATGGTCTAGATCTCCTGACCTCATGATCCACCCACCTTGGCCTCCCAAAGTGCTGGGATTACAGGCGTGAGCCACCGCGCCGGTAGCTACTGACTATTCTTAATAGGTGGAGTATATCAATGAGGGCCTGTGCCCGTACCTGGAAGCCAGGAATCTAATGCGGCACATGGTGCTGTTACTACTGAAATTCCAAGTCCTGGTGCTCTCACCATAAAGTATGATATTGACATGCTCGCATTCTTAGAAATAGGAAGATCTCTTTGGGTCGTCAAGTATATAGGGGAGATGCTTTGACAACATGTTTTAGACTTCTCTAAGATGATGTTGAAATATCTTGAGTCTTAGGGTAATCAGATGAAAAGATTGATGTCTTCCATTTTCTTATTATCTGACCTTTTTGCCCCTAATTCTGAATATTTAATAAAAATTTCCTGAGGTGGGGCATGGTGGTTCACACCTGTAATCCCAGTGCTGTGGGAGGCCAAGGCAGGTGGATCACTTGAGCTCAGGAGTTCGAGACCAGCCTGGGCAACATGGTGAAACCCCGTATCTACAAAAAATGCAAAAATTAGCCAGGCATGGTGACATGCACCTGTAGTCCCAACTGCTGGAGAGGCTGAGGCTGCAGAATCACTTGAACCCAGGAGGTTGTGGCTCCAGTGAGCTGTGATCATGCTGCTGCACTCCAGCCTGGGTGGGTGACAAAGTGAGTCCCTGTCAAAAAAAAAAAAAAATGTCCTGGGCATACTGTCATGAATATTTTTCTAGACTTAAAGTACACTCGTCTTTTTTTAATCTCATTTCAGGTTACTTTCAGGAGTGAAAAAGCTCTTTATATTTCAGTTGATAGATGGGAAGGTAACTGTGAGAAACAATATTATAGTAACTCATTTAACACATGTAAGTTATTTGTATTTATGGTAATTTAAGAAATAGGATTTATGTAAACTAGTAATATAATTTTAGAACATTTTACAATATTAAAATTGCTATTGAACTCGTTCTTGCTTCCTCACATGCAAAAAAAAGCTAACTTAAAAATATTTAATATCCAAAAAGAAAAATTGAGTTGTGCATCTTTATAGTACGTAGAGGATTCCTTAATATTGTTTGGAACATATTTAATTTCAATTTGCATTTTCTGCTTTTTATTTGTCATTCTGTATTGTGAAAGTTATATACTGTAATTTTGTTTTGCTTTAAGTACATTTACTTATGTATGTTTTTAAAAATATAAGCCATAATTCTCTAGTCTGTTGAAATTATTGTTCACTTTTTCCTTTGTGTATAAAATTATAAATATTAATCATATTATTACTTTGTCTTCTACTAAACATACTGTTTAAAACAATTGCAAAAGAAGTATTTTACAGCGAGAGGGAAATGAATTTGAATGTTTACAGAAGACCACCTTTGAATAATTGCAGTTTGCTTGTGTTGTAGAGCTGTTTACGATCTGTGCTGGAACAAATAGCAGCATATGGCCAGGTTGTGTTTCGACTCCAGGAGTTCATTGATGAAGTCATGGGACACAGTTCTGAGAGCATGCTGCCTGGAAGTGGGTCTGTTCCTAAGAAGTCAACTGAAGCTCCCTTTAGAACCTACCAGGCTTTCATGTGGGCCCTGTACAAATATTTCATTAGTTTCAAAGAGGAACTTGCAGAAATTGAGAAGTGCATCATCAATAATGGTATTAAATGTTCTTCATCTTTACTCATACTACACGTAACTCATAATTTGAATGCCACTTAGAGTTTTTATTATATAAGATTTGAAAGTTGCCTAGCAGATAAGTAGTTCTCGTGAATGCTTCTTTTAAAATTATTTTAAATTTATATTTTTAAGCCATTCATATCTCTAAAAATCAAAAAACTACAGAAGATTTAGAATGAAAAATCTAAATTATTCTTCCTGCACCAGTACCCCAGCCAGTCAGTTCTCCTCTCCAGAGACAGCCAGGTCCTTGGCTTCTTACGCATCCTTCCAGAAAGAGTTTCAACATACATGAGCAGTGCATATACATATACGCATACCTAGCAGTCATTACACTGCTCTCTTCAAATTTTTCCAGTTTAAATTTTGAGGATAATACCATACATATATGAAGAGCTTCTGTTTTCCTTTTTACAAATTGAGTGTTTCATCATATGGTCGTGTCATAGCCCAGTCCCCTTAATGGATTTAGGTTGTTCCCAGGCTTTTGCTATTGCCAGTAGTGCTGCAGTGATAATCACTTCTACATATCCGTTATCGTACACAGGCAGTGAGTTATCTGTAGGGTAGGTTCTTTTTTTTTTTTTTTCATTTGAGACGGAGTCTCGCTCTGTTACCTAGGCTGGAGTGCAGTGGCTCAATCTCTGCTTACTGCAAGCTCCGCCTCCCGGGTTCACGCCATCCTCCTGCCTCAGCCTCCCGAGTAACTGATTACAGGCACCTGCCACCATCCCCAGCTAATTTTTGTATTTTCAATAGAGACAGGCTTTCACCATGTTGACCACCTTGGCCTCCCAAAATGCTGGGATTACGGGCATAAGCTGGGATTATACTGCATCTGACCATGTGGGGTAGGTTCTTATAAATGGAATTGCTGGGTCATGTGTGATTTTCCTAAGTTTTGCCACTTTATGGGGAGGTATAGGTAAATACATTTTTACTGTTGTGAACCAAGTAGATGAATACCTGTTTCCTCACACTTCTTGCCATCTGTGTGTTACCAGACGTTTTGGTCTTCACCAGTATGACAGCTGTAAAATGGTAACCCATGTAGCTTTTTTCCCCTTAAATTTCATTTTGAACTACCACAAAAAATAGTACAGAGAGGCCCTGTGTTCCCATGACCTTGCTTCCCCCAGTGGTAAAACCTTACATAGTGACAGTACATGGTCAAAACTGGGAAACTGACATTGACACAGCACATTAGCCAAACTGCAGACCTGACATGGTTTCACCAGTGTCGCAGGAACTTGCTTTGAACAGGGGTGGGTGTGGTATATTCATGTATAGTTTATCACATGTCTAGCTCCACATAGCCACTTCCATGTTCAGATCACAGCTGTGCCATCGCCTCCCAGGAGCTTGCTTGTGCAGCCCTTTGTAGGCACAGCCTCCCTCACCCCTCTCTGTAACATTAGCCCATTGGGAGGTGTTTTGTTTTACCTAGTGTAATTTTAATTTGCGTTCTTTTATTATAAGTAAGGTCAAGTGACTTTCTGTATGTTTTAGAATCACTCATCATTCCTTTTTTATGAACTGTCAGTTCCTTTATACATTATTTTTCTGCTGAGTTGTCTTTTTCTCTGTGACTTGCAGGAGTTCTTCCTTAGGGAAATTAGGTCCTTGTGGTATGAGATTAAAATCCACCGTCCTCCATTTTGCCCTGCCTGTCCATAAGCCTGATGATTTGCCAGCATTTATGTCACATTTTAGATGCATGTATTTTTCCTTGCTGTTGAGTTTGATTTATTGATATTTGCAGATACTACAATAACTCTTGCAATAGTGGTGGACAAGTTGGCACCTCGATTGTCTCAGCTCAAGGTTCTGCACAAAGTGTTTAGTACTGGAGTAGCAGAAGTTCCACCTGATACTCGAAATGTCGTCCGGGCCTCTCACCTGCTTAACACCCTGTACAAGGCCATTCTTGAATATGACAATGTTGGAGAAGCCTCTGAGCAAACCGTAAGTGAGACTTCTGCCTAAAGTGTGTGACTCCATGCTGCACAGCAGAGGAGTGATAGACAGCTGATGGTAGTTCTTTGTTGATACTTGAATGATGACTCGTCAGACAGTTCAGAGTTTTTAAATTAACTTCCAAATTTAAGGCTGTAGGAAACTGGCTTTTCAGCTCTAATTGCCAAGATCCTCAGAAGGATGAGGCAAGGACAAGGCAAGCTGTGAGAAGTACCTACCTGATGTGTATAGATATTTACAATAACGCTTTCTTACATAAACACTAACATGTAACTAACATGACATGAGATAGCTGAAGTAGACACATCCACAGAAACAAAGTGGAATGCTGGTTACCAAGGGCTGGGGAATGGGGAGCTGTTGTTTAATGGGTACAGAGTTTCAGTTTTATAACATGAAAAAGTTCTGGAGATTTGTCACAACGATATGAATGTACTTAAAACCTCTGAACTTAAAAATGCTGAGGGTCAGGCACAGTGGCTCGTGCCTGTAATCCCAACACTTTGGGAGGCCGAGGCAGGAGGATTGATTGAGCCCAGGAGTTTGAGACTTGCCTGGGCAACATAGTAAGACTCTGTCTTTAAAAAATTAGTTAAATTAAAATTTTTTAAAATATACAGTTAAGATAAATTTTATGTTATATATTTTATATTGTATTTTAAAAAATACAAATCTAGGCCATGCATAGTGGCTCACGCCTGTAGTCCCAGCTACATATGAGTCTGAGGTGAGAGGATCACTTGAGCCCAGGAATTTGAGACCAGCCCGGGCAACATACTGAGACCCTGTCTCTACAAAAAATTTTTAAAGTAGCCAGGTGTGCTGACACCAGGAATTCGAGACCAGCCTGGCCAACATGGTGAAACCCCGTCTCTACTAAAAATACAAACATTAGCCTAGTGTGGTGGCGAACACCTGTCATCCCAGCTACTCAGGAGGCTGAGGCAGGAGAATTGCTTGAACCCGGGAGGATGCAGTGAGCCGAGATCGCACCACTACACTCCAGCCTGGGCAACAGAGCAAGACTCTGTCTCAAAAAAGGTAGCCAGCTCTGGAGGCACATGCCTATGGTCCCAGGTACTCGAGAGGCTAAGGCAGGAAGATGGCTTGAGTGTGGAAGGTCAAGGCTGCAGTGAGCCATGTTTGTGCCACTGCACTCCAGCTTGGGTAACAGAGCAAGACCCTGTCTCAAACAATATATAGATTTAAAAATAAAAATCTAACTAGAGGCTGTAATTTAGAATGCTACAGTCTTAGTTGGGTATGTACATTAGGTGTATTTTCTAGTTTGTTGGTATAACTTTTTTTCACACCAATTTAATACCATATTTCTTTTTTTCTTTTTTTTTTTTTTTTTTTTTTGAGACGTAGTCTTGCTCTGTTGCCAGGCTGGAGTGCAGTCGCACGATCTTGGCTCACTGCAACCTCCACCTCCCAGGTTCAAGTGATTCTTCTGCCTCAGCCCCCTGAGTAGCTGGGACTACAGGCGCACATCACCATGCCCGGCTAATTTTTTGGGGTTTTTTTTTGTTTTTTGTTTGAGATGGAGTCTCGCCCTGTCGCCCAGGCTGGAGTGCAGTGTCATGATCTTGGCTCACTGCAACCTCTGCCTCCTGGGTTCAAACTATTCTCCTGCCTTAGCCTCCTGAGTACCTGGGATTACAGGCGCCCACCACCATGCCCATCTAATTTTTGTATTTTTAATAGAGATGGGGTTTCACCATGTTGGCCAGGCTGGTCTCGAGCTCCTGACCTCCTGATCCGCCTACCTCGGCCTTCCAAAGTGCTGGGATTACAGGCATGAGCCACCACACCCAGCTGTATTTTTTTTTAATAGAGATGGGGTTTCACCATATTGGCCAGGCTGGTCTCAAACTCCTGCCCTTGTGATCTGCCCACCTCAGCCTCCCAAAGTGCTGGGGTTACAGGCGTGAGCCACCATGCCCAGCCAATTTCCTCATCCTTAATGGATGCTTTGCTAGTAATAGGATTTAGATAGGGAAACCTTGTTCGCTTGCCTGGGCTATCTCAGGATACACCTGCTGCCTCTGTGTCACTTTCACTCTCAAGTTTCCCAGTCTGGACTACAAACAATATGATCATCCCATATTTAGGTGAGTTTTTCTTTTTTCTTTTTTTTTTCTTTTTGTTTTGAGACAGTGTCACTCTGTTGCCAGGCTGGAGTGTAGTGGCACGATCTTGGCTCATTGCAGCCTCCACCTGCCAGATTCAAGCAATTCTCCTCCCTCAGCCTCCCAAGTAGCCAGGACTACAGGCGCGTGTCACCATGCCCAGCTAATTTTTGTATTTTTAGTAGAGAGGGGGTTTCACCATGTTGGCCAGGATGGTCTCGATTTCTTACCTCAGGTGATCCGCCCACCTCGGTCTCCCAAAGTGCTGGGATCACAGGCGTGAGCCACCACGCCCGGCATTTAGGTGAGTTTTTCATAAGGATTTTATAGTGTATGTTTTTGGATTTTTAATTTCTTTGTGCCCCAAAAAACATAGAAATCCGATCACTTTTTTAAAGGCATTTCAGAAATGTTTAAACCTCCTTTTATCCTAGTGACCAGGGAACCCTGAGAGCTGACCGTGCACACTCTCTGCCTCAGGTCTCCCTCCTTTTCTCTCTCTGGGTGGAAACGGTGCGGCCTTACCTGCAGACGGTGGACGAGTGGATCGTGCACGGGCACCTGTGGGATGGCGCCAGGGAGTTCATCATCCAGAGGTGAGCTGCAGCAGAGCACAAGGTCACTGGGGGCTGGCATCACCAGTTTCCTCCCCATGAAAATCAAATGCTTTCGTTAGTTTCAGACAGTACTGAGAAAGCACAGTTCACATCACAGAACTTGTCGTCATCATAGGCAAGTTCTATCTCATTTTTACGGAAGGCATCAGTAATACCAGCTGATTAGAAATATCTTTGTCCAAGTTTTGTCAGTCCGCAACTTTTCTTAAGCAAATTATATTTTTGGATGGTAGTATATTTATGGCTAGCTAGTACACACTGCTTCCCATAAAATGAGTTTAGATGATATCATATGGTTTCAGCTATTTCCATTGTAAATTATCAGTAAAGAGATACAGAAATATTACAGAGTATGCCTCTAATATATTTATTTCTCTGAATTATCTACTGATTTCTTTTACCTTAGTATATTTTACAAAACAAGGAAAATCTTAATCCATTTATGACAATTTCCCTTCAGTTAATTGATTTTTCTGAATAGAATCATATAAACAATGTAGAGCTATTTGTACTCTTTTAGCCCAATTTTAAATTATGCGGTATATTTAGATATATGGTTTCTATTGATAGCTATCCATTGAGCTCATCAGGAAGGATAACTTTAAGTCTTTAGTGTTCTGGAAGGGTAGCAATATGTATGCAATGCTCACATAAGTGAACTGACCCTTCCTTCAACTCAATCTCATATCTGTCACTGTGTTCTGATTCATCAATCTCACATGAGAATTTTTGTGAAAAATAGGACTCTGACTGTTCTTCTAGGGTGATGATTGACCATCATTTTATTGTTAAAAGTAGTCCAGTTAAGAATCTTTGTAGGGAAAATGATAGAGAAGTCTGCAAATTAGTTTCACAGCAGATGGTAAATGGATAAACTTTTATTCTTCTTCTAAAGAGGACCAAATTAGTCATATTTTAAATAATTCCAATTCAGGAAACTATTTCTACTTAAATTTTACTTACACTATTCAAAGTATTTATTCACTTTTCTCTTTAAACTGAGATGAGATTAAAACTGTCCCATTTTGCCTAAAGTTTGCTTCAGTTTACTAATAATTAATACTATGTTTTATAATGTCTGGACAACAAACTAGAACAAGTATGCTGTTTTTAAGAAAGAGAAATAAGAGTTTAAAATTCTTTTGAATCTCTTTAGAAACAAAAATGTTCCAGTTAATCACAGAGACTTCTGGTATGCAACTTACACGTTATATAGCGTATCAGAAAAGACAGAAAATGAAGAAAAAATGAGTGATAACGCTAGTGCGAGTTCCGGCAGTGACCAGGGGCCCTCCAGCAGGCAGCACACCATGGTGTCCTTCCTCAAACCTGTCCTGAAGCAGATCATAATGGCTGGCAAGTCGATGCAGCTGCTGAAGAACCTGCAGTGTGCGGAGAGCACCACCTGCCAGGCAGGAGCCAGAGGTACTTGTTCCGTCTTCCTGTGTCTCTCTTGGTGTTGGGACACCTGACCCTACTCGCTCTTGTCATCCTGATACCTAATTATTTTGTAGTTTGCAAGTCATCAAACCCTCTTATTTCGGTGGCAATTATCGTCATGGTTGAATTAGTAACCATGCTGCTCTTGATTTTTTAAAAGATTGTCTTCATTGAAAACTTTTAGTGCTGTGTTTGAAAAGGCAGTGACGATAAGTTCCACATGCATTTTCCTCACTCTGGATTCCTTAGGACTGGAACTTTAAAAAGTAATCCCCTGCCATTTCTTTTCTTTTATTATTTTTATAAATTGACATAATAATTGTACATATTCATGGGGTACATAGTGATGTTTTGATACATATATAGTGATCAGATCAGGATAATTAGCACTTCCATCATCTCAAACATTTACTACTTCTTTATGTTGGGGACATTCAGTATCCTCTTCTTTGCTATGTGCAACTCTATAATACATTATTAACTATAGTCATCCCATAGTGATACAGAGCACTAGAACTTATTCCTTCCAGCTAGCTATTTGTATCCTTTAACAAATATCTTCCTCTTTCTCCCTTCCCCCTACAAAATCCAGCATCTGGTATCCTGTTCTACTTTTTACTAATACGAGATCAACATTTTTTAGCTACCAGATGAGTGAGAACATGCAGTGTTTAACTTTCTGTTCCTGGCTTATTTCACTTAATGTCCACCATTTCCATCAGTGTTGCTGCAAACAACAGGATTCACTCTTTTATCTTCAAGATATATACATATATATATATATATATCTCACAATTTTTTTACCCATTCATCTGTTGTTGGGCACCTAGGTTGATTCCATGTCTTGGCTGTGTGAATAGTGCTGCAGTAAACATGGGGGTGCGGATGTCTCTTTGATATCCTGATTTCCTTTCCTTTGGATAAATGCCCACCAGTGGGATTGCTATATCATATAGTAGTTCTATTTGTAGTTTTTTGAGGAACCGCCAAACTGTTCTCCATGGTGTCTGTACTAGTTTATGTTCCCACCAACATTGTGTAAGAGTTTCCTTTTCTCCACATCCTCACCAGCATTTATTTTTTGTCTTCGTGATAAATAACCATCCTGACTGGGGTGAAATGATACCTCATTGTGGTTTTGATTTGCATTTTCCCTAATAATTAGTGATGCTGAGCATTTTTTCATCTATTTCTTGGCCATTTGTATTACTTCTTTGGAGAAATGTCTGTTCAGATCATTTGCCTTTTTTTTTTTTTTTTCCTGAGACAGAGTTTTACTCCCATCACCCAGGCTGGAGTGCAGTGGTGCAATCTGGGCTCACTGCAAGCTCTGCCTCCCTGGCTCAAGTGATTCTCCTGCTTCAGCCTCCTGAGCAGCTGGGATTATAGGCACCCGCCACCACACCCGGCTGATTTTTTGTGTTTTTAGTAGAGACGAGGTTTCACCATGTTGGCCAGGCTGATCTCGAACTCCTGACCTCAAGTGATCTGCCCGCCTTGGCCTCCCAGAGTGCTGGGATTACAGGCGTGAGCCACCGTGCCTGGCCTCATTCATTGAATTCTTTCACTGTAAAATTTGTTTGTTAAACATCTGTTTCTGTTGAATTTCTCATTCAAATCATTCTTTTCCTGATTTTGTTGAGTGTTTATTTGTACTGTCTTGTATCTCACCGAGTTCTCTTGTATCTCACCGAGTTTCCTTAAGATTTTAATTCTGAATTATTTTTCCGGCATTTCCTATATCATTGTAGTCTCTTGCTAGAGAATTATTGGTTTTCTTGGGAGGTGTCATGTTTCTTTGCTTTTTCATGTTTGATGTATTTCTACATTGATTTCTACACATCTGGTGGGAAAGTCACCTTTTCCAATTTTATGGAGTACGTTTTGTAAAGAGTTATTCATATGAATGGGTCTTGGAGTGTGGGTTCAGTGGGATGCATTCACCTTGGTTCTGGACAAATGCAGTAGTATAGTCTCCATGTACTTTCTTCAGTTGTAATCCACTTTAGTGATGTTTGCAAGTGCCTCAGTGGCCTACAGTGAGGGGGTTTGTGGCAACAGTGGCACAGTTGGCTGGGCGTGGTGGCTCACGCCTATAATCCCAGCACTTTCTTTTTTGAGACAGTCTTGCTCTATTACCTAGGCTGGAGTGCAGTGGCATGATCTCGGCTCACTGCAAACTCTGCCTCCTGGGTTCAAGTCATTCTCTTGCCTCAGTCTCTCAAGTAGATGGGATTACAGGCATGTGCCACCACGCCTGGCTAATTTTTGTATTTTTAGTAGCGATCGGGTTTTACCATGTTGGTGAGGCTGATCTCAAACTCCTAGCCTCAAGCAATCCACCCGCCTCGGCCTCCCAAAGTATTGGGATTGCAGGCGTGAGCCATCACGCCCAGCCAATCCCAGCACTTTCGGAGGCCAAGGCAGGTGGATTACTTGAGGCCAGGAGTTTGAGACCAGCCTGGCCAACATGGTGAAACCCTGTCTCTACCCAAAATATAAAAATTAGCTAGATGTGGTGGCGCATGCCTATAATCCCAGCTGCTTGGGAGGCTGAGGCACAAGAATCACTGGAACCCGGAAGGCGGAGGTTTGCAGTGAGCCAAGATTATACCACTGTACTCCAACCTGGGCAACAAAGCAAGACTCTGTCCCAAAACAAAAAACAAACAGTAGCACAGCTTTGCTGGGATGGGCTTGCTGGACTGTTTCTCAGATTAGGGGTACATGCATGTACACAGTGGTTTGGCCAAGGTGGGGTCTGGCTCAGGGTTTGGGACCACAGGCTGTTACTCTGGCCAGGAACATGAGCATGTGGTTGCTTGGCCAGCCTATAGGTTTATTTGCCTGCCAGCAATGGCCCAAGGGGCTGTTTCTCAGGCCTAGGATGTAGGCACAAAACTGGTTTTCTGGCCAGGGGCTCCATGAGAACAGCCCTCAGGGTCATTTCTCAAGCCTTGGACATGAGCACAGGCTTCTTTGCTCGCCTGGGAGTATGTTTGCTGGGGGTAACCTATAAGGCTGTTTCTTAGGCCCAGGATGTGGGTACAAGGCTGCTTTGCTAGCCTGGGTGCATGTCTGCCTGCACAGTTCAAGGGGCTCTTTCTCAGTCCTGGGACATGGTCACATGGCTTGTTGGCCGTCCTAGGTATGTATCTGCCAGTGGCAGCCCATGAGGCTGCTTCTGAGGCCCAGCATGTGGGTGGAAGGCTGCTTGGCTGGCATGAGGGTGTGATTACTGGGGGTGGTCTTCAAGGCTCTTTCTCAGGTTTGGGATATGGGTGCCAGCTGGCTCAGAACATGCCCACCAAGGGCAGACCACAGGGCTGTTTGGCAGGCCCAGTATGCAGGCCTGTGGCCGCTCTGTTGGCCTGTGACTCCCAGGCGCTGCCTATGGGGCTTCTTCTCCAACCAAAGATGCCGTGCAAGGCCGCTCAAGAAGCCTAGGTACATGCCTGCCAGGGCAGCCTCTGAAACTGTTTCTCAGACCCTGAATGCTGACCCAGGGCCACTGGGTAGGCCACGGGCCTGTCTGCAAGGGGTTGATGCTGTGGGGCTGTTTCTCAGTTCCTGGGCAAAGGTCTGTAACTGCTTCACCAGCCTGGAGGCATGTCAGCTGGTAGGAAGCTCAGGGGTCTGTTCCCACCCTCTAGAGATGGCACAGCAATTTGGCCAGCTCAAAGATGGGTTTGGTCTGTTGGGGCTGCCAGACTGTTCCTCTGTCTGAAAGTGCAGTGGCAGGGGCTGGTTTTTCTGCTGTGCAGGACCAGAATCACCAGTCGATCCTGGGCCCAGGCTCCACATAGCTGGGGTTGTGGTGTTCAGCCATCCCTGTGGCCTTGGTGGAATGAGGATGGAGCCCCAGTGGCTGGGGTGCAGGAGAGGTGCAGCAGCTACTGGCCCAGAGGAGGGCGTGCTCCAGAGGTGGCTCTGGTCTGAAGATGGTGCCATGCTGCAACAGCTTGGCTCAAAGGGGTGGGTGGGGAAGGCACACCTTGTGCCCCTAACCCGGGGCAAGGCAGCTGCGTGAATTCCCAGCAGCTCTCCAAACTGGGCTCAGAGCTCGTGGGAACTGTGGAATCCTCCTGTAGTAATGACTGTAGGTGTTTGTGGGGGCTGGTGGGTTTCTTCTGCTTACCCTTACCCTACAATGGGAAGTCCTTCTTGACTCCAGACCAGCCTGTTCTGCGAAGCTGCAGAGGCTGGAAGCCTCCACACTGCCCTCCTGGGCCTCCAGTCACCAACACTGTGTCACATTCCCCCTCTGCACTCCAGCACTCGCCCTTCAACTCCAGTCGGATCTTTTTTTTTTGAGACGGAGTCTTTCCCTGTCGCCCAGGCTGGAGTGCAGCGGCGCGATCTCGGCTCACTGCGAACTTCGCCTCCTGGGTTCTCTCCTGCCTCAGCCTCCCCAGCAGCTGGGACTACAGGCGCACACCACCGTGCCCGGCTAATTTTTTTGTATTTTTAGTAGAGACGGGGTTTTACCATACTAGCCAGTATGGTCTCGATCCCCTGACCTCATGATCCGCCCGCCTCGGCCTCCTGAAGTGTTGGGATTACAGGTGTGAGTCACCACCCCCAGCCTCCAGTCGGATCTTAACTGTTGATTCGTTGCTTTGGTCCTCTCTTGCTGTTGGGAGAGGAACACCAGACGTCTCCAGGCAGCCACCTTGCTGGCGACTGGAGTGCAGTGGCATGATCTCGGCTCACTGCAACTTCTGCCTCACAGGTTCAAGTGATTTCTCATGCCTCAGCTTCCCAAGTAGCTGGGACTATAGATGTGAGCCACTACGCCCGGCTAATTTTTTGTGTTTTTAGTAGAGATGGGGTTTCACCATGTTGGCCAAGCTGGTCTTGAACTCCTGACCTCAGCTGATCCACCCGCCTCTTAAAGTGCTGGGATTACAAGCGTGAGCCACCACAACCAGCCCTTCTGGCATTTCTTAATGCAATGCAGCGTTTAGCCCTTGAGGGCCGTGAACCATGGCTGATAAGAATTTCTTATGAGCAGTTCAGACTCGATCATAAATTTCAAGAAAATGATGCAATTTAATATATTCAAAGTTTTATGCTGTAATCCCAGCACTTTGGGAGGCTGAGGCAGGCAGATCACGAGGTCAGGAGATCGATACCATCCTGGTCAACGTGGTAAAACCCCATCTCTACTAAAAATACAAAAATTAGCTGGGCATGATGGCATGGGCCTGTAATTCCCCACTACTCAGGAGGCTGAGGCAAGATAATCGCTTCAACCAGGGAGTCAGAGATTGCAGTGAGCCGAGATCATGCCACTGCACTCCAGCCTGGTGACAGAGTGAGACTCCATGTCAAAAAAAAAAGTTTTATCAACTGACTAAAAAGGCTTGGAAGATAAAGATGTGACCTTATTTATACATCTCAATCATCTCAATGTTATGTTAATTATATTATTGTATCTACTTGAAATAAGTAGATGCAATACTTATTTTCACTTTGTGGAATATTTCCTTCTTATGTAGTGAGCTTCCCAGGGCCACTGTCAGAAGTGTTTTTTCCAATGAGACTGCGACTCCTATCAGGGTTACCATAGTGTTATGCAGTATTGTAATAAATTTCAAGTGTGCTGATTAGGATCTTACTCTTTTTTTTTTTTTTTTTTTGAGTCAGGTTTCACTCCTATTGCCCAAACTGGACTGGAGTGCAGTGGCGTGATCTCAGCGCATTGCAACCTTCACCTGCCAGTGCTCACGCAGTTCTCGTGCCTCAGCCTCCCAAGTAGCTTGGGACCACAGGCACATTCCACTGCACTCAGCTAATTTTTTTGTAGAGCTGAGGTTTCACCATGTTGCCCAGGCTGGTCTCAAACTCCTGAGCTTAAGTGATCCACCCGCCTCAGCCTCCCAAAGTGCTGGGATTACAGGCATGAGCCACTGCACCCGGACATGATATTATTTAATATTTCTTGGGCCAGGCACAGTGGCTCACGCCTGTAATCCCAGCACTTTGGGAGGCTGAGGCGGGTGGATCACTTAAGCTCAGGAGTTTGAGACCAGCCTGACCAACATGGTGAAACCCCGTCTGTACTAAAAAACAAATATATAAAATTAGCCGGGCGTGGTGGCACATGCCTGTAATCCCAGCTACTTGGGAGGCTGAGGCAGGAGAATTGTTTGAACCCGGGAGGCGGAGGTTGCAGTGAGCCAAGATGGCGCCATTGCGCTCCAGCCTGGGCAACAAGAGCAAAACTCCATCTCAAAAAATATATATTATTTTGTTACTATATATAAATATATATATTTAATATTTACATATATTTAATATTTATATATAAATATATAGATTTTGTTACTTAATATATTGTTAATGTTAATATGATTAAACAGAATGTTACTTAATATGATTAAACAGAACTTAGTTCACCTTACATATTTCTTTATGTTTCAGATGCAGAAAGAAAAAGTTTATACACTCTCTTTCTGGAATCTGTACAGTCCCGTCTTCGACATGGAGAAGATTCCACTCCACAGGTTCTTACTGAGCAACAGGCAACCAAGGAGAACCTGATGAAGATGCAGTCCATTGCTGAAAGCCATCTTGAACTGGATGATGTTCATGATCCACTGCTTGCCATTAACTTTGCAAGGTGAGACACACCTGCAAGGTTATCAGTAATTGAAATGGCATCATTTGTGCAATGTTTGCTAACTGTTTATTTCTGGCAGGTAGGGCTAAAAACAAAAACTCTTGTAGGCTATCCTTTCTTTTTTCTTTTTCCTTTTTTTTTTTTGTTTGTTTGAGATGGAGCCTCAGTCTGTCACCCAGGCTGGAGTGTAGTGGTGTGATCTTGGCTGACTGCTGCAACCTCTGCCTCCCAGGTTAAGCAATTTTCCTACCTCAGCCTCCCAGCTACCTGGGACTAGAGGCATGTGCCACCATGCCCCGCTAATTTTTGTATTTTTTGTAGAGACGGGGTTTCCTCCTGTTGGCCAGGCTTGCCTCGAACTCCTGACCTCAGGTGATCTGCCCACCTCGGCCTCCCAAAGTGCTGGGATTACAGGTGTGAGCCACCATGCCATGCCTATCCTTTATAACAAGCAGAATACAAGATGTTGTGCTCACCTACTTCAGGTGTATAGTTTGGATTCCATGTCGTTTGTGGAAGTCTGCAGACTTGGCCCTGCCACCATGTGGTACAACTTTTGTCTGTGCCCTCGGGCCCCTGGAAATGTCATCATTTACCCAGAAGATGCTGAAACTCTGGGCCATGAGTGGGCCCTGGACACCCATTGAGTCAGGGTCCCCACTGGCATATAATATGTCCTGGGCTTAAGCTGCTTTTAGGCACTTAGTCCATTAGAGTAAGTCATTAATACCCACACAGTTCCCGGTTGTCTAATGGCCAGCATTTGCTGTGTCCAGCCCTAATCACTAGAAAGACCAGCTCTAGTACCTGACCCTAAGTCAGTGGCAACTTCAAGAGACTGGTTCACTCAAAGGATATTTTTGGGAGAAAGATTTTTCTCTTTCTGTAATAGTTGGTAACTTCAAGACTAAAGGTAAAAATGGAACTTCAGGGTTTTGATTTAAGAGAGTTCTGTTGACAGCAGCTCATAAAAAGAAGACTCACATTTTTATCTTGAAGGATGTATTTGGAGCAGAGTGACTTTCACGAGAAGTTTGCTGGTGGTGATGTATGTGTGGATAGATCATCGGAATCTGTGACATGCCAGACTTTTGAATTAACGCTGAGATCCTGCCTCTATCCTCATATTGACAAGCAGTATCTAGATTGCTGTGGAAATCTCATGCAAACTCTAAAAAAAGATTACAGGTAAAAGAGTAATTTAATTTTGGAAGTAGTAAATAGTTGATTGTACTTGAAGAACAGTTGAGATTATTTTAAAACCTATTTCAATTTTTATTAGAGTAGGAAATGGATATACAGTAAACAATTTTCTAAGAGAAATCAATTGACCATCAATATTTTCTTAACTATGTTTTGAAACTTAATTCTTTATTTCTGAGAATCTTTCCCAAAAGAAATACAGAAAAAGCTTGTAGAAAAATTACAAAGTTTGTTATCAGAATGAAAAACACTAAATTACTTAGTGATAGATGACTAGTTTTTTAAACTATGCATATCCATAAATATGGCATATACATACCCACATATGAACTTTGTAAAGTTCATAAAAATTATGGCAATTAGGCCGAGCACGGTGGCTCACACCTGTAATCCCAGCACTTTGGGAGGCTGAGGTGGGAGGATCACGAGATCAGGAGATCGAGAGCATCCTGGCTAACACGGTGAAACCCCGTCTCTACTAAAAATACAAAAAATTCGCCGGGCGTGGTGCCGGGCGCCTGTAGTCCCAGTTACTCTGGAGGCTGGGGCAGGAGAATGGCGTGAACCCAGGAGGCAGAGCTTGCAGTGAGCTGAGATCGGGCCACTGCACTCCAGCCTGGGCGACAGAGCAAGACTCCATCTCAAAAAAAAAAAAATTATGGCAATTAAAAAGCAGGAGATATAATACGGTAGGAACTAGGTTTTCTTAACACATAGAAGAGAAGACAGGAAAGAAACATTCCAGATATTAAATATTAATGATGGAAATCCACCATAAATGATGGGATTTGGATTTTTTTTTGTTACATTTTTGTGACTGCCCAATTTTCTATAATGTTATAGAAGATAACCTTTCTGATGATGAAAGGAAAACCTATGCTGTTTTTATTATTGGAACAAGTTTAAGAGGTGTTAATATTTCTAATTTTAGTAAATGTAGAATGTAAACTTGTTCCACTAAAAACAGGTTACAAAACCTGTTGTTGATCCAGAATCCTGCCTTACGAATGCCAGAGATCTTAGTGTCACTCATTTTCTCTCCATTCAGGTTGGTAGAATACTTGCAAGCTATGAGGAATTTTTTCTTAATGGAAGGAGGAGATACCATGTATGACTTCTACACGTCAATTTTTGATAAAATAAGAGAAAAGGAAACATGGCAGAATGTGTCTTTTCTTAATGTCCAACTCCAAGAAGCAGTAGGACAGCGTTATCCTGAAGATAGTTCACGGTAAAATATGGACGCCACCTTTATTTAAATTAGTGTAACATGAACTATGTGCCAGTAAGTCTTCTATGAATTACACATATTATTTTATCCTCACTATTCCTATGAGTTTTACTAATATTATTTTACTTATTAGAAAATGGAGGCCAGGCACGGTGGCTCACACCTGTAATGCCAGCACTTTGGGAGGCAGAGGCGGTGGATCACCTGAGGTCAGGAGTTCGAGACCAGCCTGGCCAACATGGTGAAACTCTGTCTCTACTAAAAATACAAAAAGCATGGTGGCAGGCGCCTGTAATCCTGGCTATTTGGGAGGCTGAAGCAGGAGAATCGCTTGAACCTGGGAGGCAGAGGTTGCAGTGAGCCAAGATCATGCCACTGCACTCCAGCCTGGGCGACAAGAACGAGACTCCATTTAAAAAAAAAGAAAAAATTGAGGCAGAGGCTAGCTATGTGACTCTCCTGCTAAACAACAAAAGACGTTGAGATGCCACCATATGGCCAGATGCAGTGGCTCATGCCAGTAATCCTAGCACTTTGGGAGGCCAAGGTGGGAGGATTGCTTGAGCTTAGGAGTTTGCAACCAGCCTGGGCAACATAGTGGGACCTCGTCCCTATAAAAAAAGAAAAAAGTTGCCACCATACGACCTGTCAGGGTCTGATGGCCTCCTTCACATGGCTGGAGTCAGTGCTTCCTCTCCCTGAGCTCCCACACATGAGGTTTTTCAGTCCTGCCTCCTAGAGAATGCCCCTGACCTCTCAGAACTGGCTCAGAACTCCCCAATGACCTCTGTGTCTCTCAGCCTCACTCCCTTCCACCAAAACGGACTTGACCCTCACCAGGGTGACCTCAGACCACCAGCAGTGACTTCCACCACTCATCCCTATGCTCCCCGTGGGTGCCTCCTAAACAGATGGACTAAGCTTTGTCTTAGAAGGGAGAAAGCTATTTACTGTCTGGCTCCATTTTCCCAGCCTCATGTCTTGCACACATACACACCATGTTCTCTTTCCTGTCTTCCTTCGCGTTTCAGGGATTTCAGAATATTTCTGGTGTCTGCTAGTGCTGTCCTCCCGCCCCCCTGTGACATAGTCTCCAGTTCATGGGCCCGGCAGAGGTCTGCTCATTCCTACATCCCCCTTGTCTTCGTGTGCTGCACTGGGCTGGGAGTCCCTGGAGGGAAGAGAGATTGGCTTTCTATTGCCTGCTCAGTGCAGCACCTAACTTAGTATTAGTATTTGGTAGATGCCTACTAAGCACTGAGTGAATGCATACATATCAGGCCATTAAGAGCTAAAAATTCTTTTTTTTGAGACAGAGTCTTGCTCTGTCACCCAGGCTGGAGTGCAGTGGCACAATCTCGACTCACTGCAAGCTCCGCCTCCCGGGTTCATGCCATTTTCCTGCCTCAGCCTCCCGAGTTGCTGGGACTACAGGCGCCCAGCTAATTTTTTGTATTTTTATAGAGACGGGGTTTCACTGGGTTAGCCAGGATGGTCTCGATCTCCTGACCTCGTGATCCTCGAGGATGCCAAAGTGCTGGGATTACAGGTGTGAGCCACCGCACCCGGCAAAGAGCTAAAAATTCTGACTAGTGCCTGTGTCATGGATCAGCCAGTTCATAATCACACACTGCCCTGTGACATCTCTGATTTGGAAGTTAACTCCCCACTTTAAACCTTCTTCATATGCATCCAGGCATCCCCTCTTAGTGCCTCTGTGACTGTGGAAGAGGACATCATTTCTCAGGAACCACTGATGGGAGTATTTTGAGGATTAAATGAGCTAAGGACACATAATAGTGCCTGGCACTTGGACATTTTCATGTCCATGTTAGATGCTTGCTTTCCTCTGTGAGTCACATTCAAACCTGTCTCAGGAACTTGTGGATGAAGCACTGCACAGTGCCTCTGGTGTAGAAGCAGACCCCATCCCATCTCGATGGGGCTCTCGAAGCAGTACTCTCACCACATGCTCGGCTCCGTCGAGCTGCTCTGCTCGTCCTCTCCTGCCCACCCCCAACCTCAGCAGAGGCTTCATCTTCCCAGCCATTGCCTGAAGTTTACTGTCTTCCTCAGCTTCATCCTTTTTCTAATTACTACCATTGTTAAGTGTCTCTTTAACTAAACTCATTGTTTAAAAGTTTTCTCCCTCTCTGTTTCTAAATCCAAATTTCTGCTCTGGAATATATGTTAGAAGAGATACATTTGTTGGAATGTTTGCATTTCTTTTATGAAATGCAGTATCTTTTGGGGAATATTATGTAAATGAAATACCAATTATTTTAAAAGAGCATTTTTGTGTGACATAGTGCTTTCACAAACTAAAACTGGAATTTCTTTCTTTAGTCTATCTATATCTTTTGAAAATGTTGACACAGCTAAGAAGAAGCTGCCTGTTCATATCTTAGATGGTCTGACCCTCAGCTACAAGGTATATGCTGATATTCCTTGTATGAACCGTGTTTTCTGCTAACATTAAAACATGCAAGTAATTGGTTACTTTCTAATTTTGTTTTTGTTTCATAGGTCCCATGGCCCGTGGACATTGTTATAAGTTTGGAATGTCAAAAAATTTATAATCAAGTGTTTCTTCTCTTATTGCAAATAAAGTGGGCAAAATATAGTCTGGATGTTTTACTTTTTGGTGGTAAGATTTGTTTTCAGCAGATAAATTGTAATTTTATTTAATTTTAGCCCTTAATAAAAGAGGTTAATGGGAAAGGGAAGCATACGGGGATCTGGAAAAAAAAAAAAAGTTGGTGGTTGTTGATCATTTTTTATGTGTACACAAATGCCAAAATGGTGCGTATTCTAGCAGTAGTTTTATGGACATCAAATGCCTGAAAGAAAGATCAGGAAGTTGTATGTACAGTTGATCTGAAATGCAACAACTTGATTAGGAAAAGTGATACAGGAAACTTTTCCCACTGCACCTTCCAGAGGCACTGAGGTTCGGTTCCTGCCACCCCTGCCAGTGCTTTCTGTGGTGCCAGGACCACATCCGTCAGTGTTTCTGCCAGGCGTCATGGTGCAGTGGGGTTTGAGTTGATGCTCTTTCTGTCCACTTTGCTCTTCCAATGTTTTATAGAACTGGTTAGTACTGCAGAAAAACCACGACTTAAAGAAGGCCTTATACATGAACAAGACACAGTTGCTCAGTTCGGACCACAAAAAGAACCAGTAAGACAGCAGATTCATCGCATGTTCCTCTTAAGAGTGAAGCTCATGCATTTCGTGAACAGCTTGCACAACTACATCATGACCAGGGTTTGTGCCTCTCCCATCTGCTTCAGTTCTATCGTCGTATCTATACAGTTGTTCGTAGAGAATTACTCATACTATGTTTATAAGTAAAAAATACCTACAGACTGTGAAAACGGGACATGTAGCAAATTTGATCATAAAATAACATGGCAGTGGGAGGAATGTTTTTGTAAATATACCGGAATATGTGTATCCAGAGGCTGTTGTCCCTCCAGTCCAGCAGCCCCTGGGGACAGGCACAGCCACAGCTCGTCTTCTGGAATTGCCTTCAGAATGTGCCGCATAGTCCTTTAGGTTTCAATAGTGGTGACAGCTGTCCCTAAAAAATGGCTCCAATGTTTAATAACAGCCAAAATCCACTACGGTGTGTGGGAGGAAGATGCAGCCAGGTTATAGACTTTTTTCTTAAAAACAAGAACTCACTACAAAGTAAATGAAATTATTTTTCTGATACATCTAAAAGCCAGTTCTAGGGGAAGTTCTAAAAGAAGCGTTCAGAAATTGGAACAAGAGCAGTATTATTAGAGGACAGTATGCATTTGGGGTTTGAATTGTTGTTTAGACCTGTTTATACCTGGTCTGTGAGTTCTGAAACCCAACTTGCTTGGGTGAAGTGAGCCACTGAAGCCTGTGTTTTGGATGGGAAGGCTATGGCAGAGGGGCTCCACGTTTCCCCTGACTGCATTACTGCCTTCACAAGGTTGGCCTTCATTAAGCCCCTAATTGTTAAGAGTAAATGATAAGAGTTTAAGTTTTTTCTTAGTTTGTTTTTTATTTGAGGTATACTTATACTCATTTTAGAGAAAGATCAATGTATGAGAAAAGGAACTTAAGAAACATAAATTCACTGTAATTATTTGTATAAAAGTAACACATTTACTTGATTTTTTTTTTATCGATGTGTCTTATATACAGCTTAATGTGCTTGCCCCTTCCTGCCAGGAAGTCTGTTAGTCCAGAGTTTGGCGTTCATTCATTCACTGTGCAAGTGGGCGTCCTACAGGATTGCCCCCGCCGTCCTCTTAGGATCAGAACGCCAGAGTATCCAGCCAGCCTTTGAAGAATGGTACTTTATGAAACTGTCTAGATGTGCTTATTGAAGGAAGAATTTGAGAGGAGTAGAAGAGCTTAGTAAAAAAGATTTGTGTGCAGCACACAAGTCCTCAAAGAAGGCTGCTGATGAAGCTTTTTATCTTTCTCTTCCAAGATTCTACACAGTACAGGGCTGGAGTTTCAACATCAAGTCGAGGAAGCCAAGGATTTAGATCAATTGATTAAAATTCACTATAGGTATCTGTCAACCATCCATGACCGGTGTCTGCTGAGAGAAAAGGTACATGAGATGTCTCCTGCAGATGTGGCCACTGCTGGGCGAGTGGCGCTGTCTGCGTGCTTTGGAATTTTATGATGATTAAGCTTCTGTCCTGTAGAATATTCTTTAAGGAAGAACCAGATGAAATGAGGTTACAAACAAATGCCCCAGGCCGGCCACAATGGCTCATGCCTGTAATCCCAGCACATTGGGAAACTGAGGCAGGCAGATCTTATGAGGCCAAGAGTTCAAGACCACCCTGGGCAACATAGCAAGACTCTGTCTTTACAAAAAGTTAAAAAGATTAGCAGACATGGTGGTGCATACCTGGAGGCCCAGCTACTTGGGAGGCTGAGGTGGGAGCATTGTTTGAGGCCAGGAGTTTGAGGCTGCAGTGAACTATGATCTGACACCACTGCACTCCACTCCAGCTTGGGTAACAGAGCAAGACCTTGTCTCTTAAAAAAAAAAAAAAAAAAAAAAAAAAAAACAGAAGGAGGAGTGCCCTATTCGTAGAAATTGTATCTAAGAGCAACATGAGAACTATGTGTGATAGTCAACACTCACTCTGCGTTACTCTTGGATTCATTTGGAAAATTGTGTCTGCAGTTGCGGAGCAATAGCATGTCCACTTCATGTGAATAGATAGAATTCAGTAATGTTAAAACCATTGCAATTATTTGTCCTAGTTTCATTGGTGAATTTAAATGGCCATCCCAGGAAAAGGTCTTAATAGTTTGTTTTGTTGGTTTGACTGTACTGCTAATATCACTTGTATCTTACATTCAGTGAATGCATGTGCCTGGTCCCAAATGGGCATGGTTCAGAGCCTAGTACCCTTCCATATACACAGAAGGCAGTCACTGTGGTGATGAACTTTTTCTGTGATTCATTTAAAATAGGTAAAAGTGTTGGTATCAGTGTCCAAACCTAGTTACACAGTTTGTGTTCTGTGACTTTGGTCTGCAGGTCAGCTTTGTGAAAGAAGCTATCATGAAGGTGTTGAACTTGGCTCTCATGTTTGCAGACGGTTGGCAGGCAGGCCTGGGCACTTGGCGGTAAGTATGTGATTTCTGCAGCATCTGCACTGTGACCATTTCAGCTTCAGCTTCCCTTTTTTTTAGAGACAGGGTCTTCCCAGCCATTCAGGAGGCTGAGAGGAGAGGATTGCTTGACCCCAGGAGTTCAAGACTAGCCTGGGCAACATAGCAAAACCCAGTCTTTAAAAAAAAAAAAAAGTGCAAGTATTTTTTGAGAAGTAAAACATTTTTAAAAATCTGAGGTCTTCTGATTTAAACAAGCAAACATTTTTAGATTATACTCATGTTATATTGTGTACGTTTTGTTAAATTTTTATCATGGACACCTTCAAACTGAAGTGGCAAAGACAGTGTTGTGAACACCGTGATGGCACCTGCTTCAGCTGTGCCAGTGAGGACAGCTCTGTCATGTCTGTGCCCACCTCCCCAGTCACACTTGCTGAATTATTTTAAATCAAATTCTGGACATCATGCTAGACTATTCTCCAAAGTTGTATTTTGGATGAGCTCTAAAAGATGCTGTGTTTTGAGAGTGTTTGTTATTCACACACATCACATAGGCAAGTGCACTGAATCAGGGGAAGTGGCCCGGGAGCAGCTCCCTCTAGCACTGCCATCCTCTACTGTTAACTCCAGTGTACAGCTCAATATTTTGTTACCTGTCCTGTTTATAAAGTCAGTGCAACAGTAATTCTGCTGTTACTTCCATGAAATAAAAGTGCATGTTTGGTTGACTGTACTTACTCCATGTCAGTAAGGAAGTAAGAATTCATTTGAGTGCTAGTATAATTCGAAATCTCCCATTGGCTGTACTCGGAATCAAGAAACTAAGGTAGTAGATGAAGCCATAGCTGCAGGGATGGAAATAGAAGTCTTCCTCGCTTTATATTGCTGGCTCAAAGTGTGCAAAATATATTTTGCTTTTTTTTTTTCTTTTTTTTTTGTCTCACTTTGGGGTGGAGGAGAAATAACACTGCTGCATATGCTTTGCTGAAATTCAACTCTTTCAGGTTTTTTTTACAAATAAATGTGAGAAAAATACAGGGGGTGAGGAACTTAAGAAGTCTATCAACCATCGCAGTTTATGGATAAGTTAATTGTTCCTGATTGAGACTTAAAGCCGAAAAGTGAAAAATTGTAGAAGCAATGTGAAATTTGCTTGAATGCTATTAGATGATATTTTTGAGCAAATGGTGTTGTGGCTGTGTTTTGAAAGGAGTCTTTATCTTTAAAGTATACATTTATACTTATGAAATATTCATGACTGTGGTGCTCTGATGTCTCCTGTTTGCTTCTGAATATTGTGGTGGGGCTGTGGAGGTGTAAGCTTGGCATGTGGCACCTGCCATGGCTGGGCAGTGGGCCATGGAAACCCCTTCTGAAGTTCTCTCTTACAAAGTGTTTGATATTTCTTTAAAAAAAAAAAAAAGAAAGAAAGAAAGCCGAGCACAGTGGCTTACGCCTGTAATCCCAGTGCTTTGAGAGGCTGAGGTGGGCGGATCTCCTGAGGTCAGGAGTTCGAGACCAGCCTGACCAACATGGAGAAACTCCATCTCTACTAAAAATACAAAATTAGCCAGGCGTGGTGGTGCATGCCTGTAATCCCAGCTACTTGGGAGGCTGAGGCAGGAGAATTGCTGAACCCAGGAGGCAGAGGTTGTGGTGTGGTGAGCCGAGATCGCTACATTGCACTCCAGCCTGGGCAACAAGAGCGAAACTCTGTCTAAAAAAAAAAAAGGCAGCCAGGCTCCATGGCTCACAACTGCAATCCCAGCACTTTGGGAGGCCAGTGGGGGCAGATCAGCTGAGGTCAGGAGTTCGAGACCAGCCTGACCAACATGGCGAAACCCCATCTCTACAAAAAATACAAAAATTAGCCAGACATGGTGGTGGGCATCTGTAATCCCAGCTACTCAGGAGGCTGAGGCAGGAGAATCACTTGAACCCAGGAGGCGGAGGTTACAGTGAGCCGAGATCGTGCCACTGCTCTCCAGCATGGGCGACAGAGCAAGACTCCATCTCAAAAAGAAAAAAAACCTTTTTAAAAATAATTTCAGATTTTAAGTTTTATATCCTTAATGTGTTCTTTATTTCAAAGAGAATGTATGCTTGTAAACAATAAAAACAAGACTGTATAAAGGAAAAGGGAGTATCTTTGGTCCTCCTAGTTCCAGAACTAGATACTATCTGGAAACAGCACAGTTTTATATCCTAATGAAACTTCCTTTGAAACACTTTGACATTTTTTATTTTAAAGTAGGGTAGGACGTTATGTGTTTTATTTTATAATCTTTAGATTTAGGATTTTAAATAATTAAACCAAAATACATTTGAAATTACTCCACAGATATCTTGAAGCCTACCTATATACCCGCAATGCACTTACTTAATTGAAATTTACTTTTATTCCTAGAATGGAATCTATAGAGAAAATGGAATCTGATTTTAAAAACTGCCATATGTTTCTTGTAACCATTTTAAACAAAGCCGTCTGTAGAGGATCCTTTCCCCATTGTGAGTATATCATGTTAAAATATTTCTACCTCTGTATTTCCTTGTAACTAAGTGTATGTGTCATTGTTTTGTTACTGATCCCATGAAGAATTAGAAATTCTCACCATTTTCAAAACTGAAAAGTCCCTTAGCAGTTGTCCCATGCTTTGAATTGCTTTTTAAGCATTACGGTGAGGTGAGTGTAAGCCTGAGGATCTTACTTTCTGGTATACCATTTATTACAACAGATTTCTAAAACTCCTATTAAATAAAGTTGATGGCAGAATAGATTTCTGTCACACTTCACTATCGTGTAGTTTTTGTAACTATTTCTTTTCAAAATCTAGTCTTTTTAAAAATTTTTTTAGGAATTTAAAGCTCCTGGCCTGGCGCGGTGGCTCATGCCTCTAATCCCAGCCCTTTGGGAGGTTGAGTGAATCACTTAAGGTCAGGAGTTGGAAGACCAGCCTGGCCTACATGGCAAAACCCTGTCTCTGCTAAAAATACAAAAATGAGCTAGGCATGGTGGCACATGCCTGAAATCCCAGCTACACAGCAGGCTGAGGCAGGAAAATTGCTTGAACCCGGGAGGCAGAGGTTGCAGTGAGCTGAGATTGTACCATTGCACTCCAGCCTGGGTGACAGTGGGACTCCGTCTTCAAAAAAAATTTTTTTTCAACATTTAAACCTATTGTTTTAACCTTATTTTTATTCTTCCCACAGTGGAATCTCTAGCGTTGTCACTCATGGCTGGCATGGAACAAAGTTAAATGTCTTCAGCGTAATAAATATCTCCGACTTTGTCATCATACATGTACATTTCCACCATGTGCAGCTGAAAAGTGAAAATATTTTTATTTTGGTTTATTTGTAAAACTTGTCCACAGTCAGCCTGGCACAGTCGCTCATGCCTCTAATCCCAGCACGATGGGAGGCCAAGACAGGCAGATCACTTGAGCCCAGGAGTTTGAGGCCAGCCTGGGCAACATGGTGAAACCCGGTGTCTACCAAAAATACAAAATGTATCCAGACATGGTGGTGTGTACCTGTAGTCCCAGCTACTCAGGAGGCAAAGATGGGAGGATTACTTGAGCCCAGGAGGTCAAGGCTACAGTGAGCCATGATTGCACTACTGCAGTGCAACCTGGGTGACAGAGTGAGACCCTGACTCAGAAAGAACCACTTGCCCACAGTCCAGACAGATGGATTGTAGGTGGGTTTTCTGGAGATTAGTAGATACTGTATAGAGTTGTATACATAAAATTGTGTCAGTAGTACAAAGTGTATATAGGCTGTTTACTCTTACATTTCCTACTGTAAGATACAGATTTATGGTACTGATACCTTTAAATTATATCATATTTTGAAAATGTAATTACTGATATTCAAAATAAATTAAAGGACTTAAAATCATTTTATTATCCTTTTGCTGCTGTCCTACAGTCACAGAAGCTTTTTATATAGAGTTTTACATGTTGTCTTCCCTAAAAGTTGTCTTAGATGTAGCTGTCCTAGAAATGTTTATATTTTGGCTGGGTGTAGTTTCTCAAGCTTGTAATCCTGGCACTTTGAAAGACTGAGGTGAGAGGATTCCTTGAGGCCAGCAGTTTAAGACCTGCCTAGGCAACATATGAGACCCCATCTCTCCAAAAACAACTTAAAAATTAGCCAAGGGCTGGGCACGGTGGCTCACCCCTGTAATCCCAGCACTTTGGGAGGCCGAGGTGGGCGGATCATCTGAGGTCAGGAGTTCAAGACCAGCCTGGCCAATGTGGTGAAACCCCGTCTCTACTAAAAATACAAAAAAATTAGCCAGGTGTGGTGGCCCACATCTGTAATCCCAGCTACTTGGGAGGCTGAGGCAGGAGAATCACTTGAACCCAGGAGGCAGAGGTTGCGGTGAGCCTAGATTGTACCACTGCACTCCATCCTGGGTGACAGAGCAAGACTCCGAAAAAAAAAAATTAGCCAAGCATGGTGGCACATGCCTGTGGTCCCAGCTACTTGGGAGGCTGAGGTGGGAGGATCGATTGAGACCGGGAGGTCAAGGCTGCAGTGAACCATGATTGCATCACTGCACTCCAGCCTGGACAACAGAGCAAGACCTTGTCTCCAACAAAAAAAAAGAAAGAAAGAAATGTATATATGTTTTGTTGTGCCTGAGAAGTTCTACATGGAAAATAGCTTCAACTGATAGCGATAAATGTAAAAGGCCAACTTCACTTAGGGCCAACTGTTGGTACATACTATTGTTTGGTATTTCCTTGTTTTTTGAAATGTGGAGGCTCACTCTGTTACCTAGGCTGCAGTGCAGTAGCACGATCTCGGCTCACTACAACCTCTGCCTCCTGGATTCAAGTGATTCTCCTGCCTCAGCCTCCCGAGTAGCTGGGATCTCAGGCGTGCACCACCACGCCCAGCTAATTTTTGTATTTTTAGTAGAGACAGGGTTTCACCTTGTTGGCCAGACTGGTGTCGAACTCCTGGCCTCAGGTGATCCACCCGCCTTAGCCTCCCAAAGTGCTGGGATTACAGGCGTGAGCCACTGTGCCTGGCAATATTTCTGAGCAATTTTTGTGAGCTAACCAGTTATATTTTGAATAGAATTATGCTTACTATTAAATTTTTCCATATTTTCTTTTTATAGAGTGAGACTATCTTTAAAAAAAAAAAAGGCCACACATAGTGACTCATGCCTGCAATCCCAGCACTTTGGGAAGCCAAGGTGGGTGGATCATGAGGTCAGGAGTTCGAGACCAGCCTGACCAATGTGGTGAAACCTTGTCTCTACTAAAAATACAAAAATTAGCTGGGCGTGGTGGCACACACCTGTAATCCTAGCTACTCAGGAGGCTGAGGCCAGAGAATTGCTTGAACCTGGGTGGCCGGAGGTTGCAGTGAGCTGAGATCATGCCACTGCACTCCAGCCTGGGCGACAGAGCGAGACTCTGTCTCAGAAAAAAATAAGAAAAAGAAAAAAAATATGAAAGCTAGAACTGGAAACAACAAAATGTGGAAGTTAGGACTAGAAAGCTTCTAGAAGCAAACATGGGAAATTAACACTACAAACTTGGGGTAGACAAAGATTTCTTACATAAAATCAAAAAAGGGGCCGAGCACGGTGGCTCATGCCTGCAGTCCCAGCACTTTGGGAGGTCAAGGTGGGTGGATCACCTGAGGTCAAGAGTTCCAGACCAGCCTGACCAATATGGGGAAACCCCGTCTCTACTAAAAATACAAAAATCAGCCGGGCGTGGTGGCGCACACCTGTAGTCCCAGCTACTCAGGAGGCTGAGACAGGAGAATCGCTTGAACCTGGGAGGCAGAGGTTGCAGTGAGCCGAGATCACACCACTGCACTCCAGCCTGGGTGACAGAGCAAGACTCCGTCTCAAAAGGAAAAAAAAAAAGGAATTATTGGTGAATTGGACATCACCAAAAAACATTGCTAGGAAAATGGTAATACAGGCCACAGACTGGGAGAGAACATTTCCCCTTAGCCCCTTTCAGGAACCATGTCATGCCCAGAGGCAACCACTGTTGCCCAGGGTGTCCAGAAGTAACTATGTTCAGAGTGTATGAAGGCATTTTAAATTAGTAAGACAAGCTTTTTTTTTTTTCATTGATGCAAGGTCTTGCTTTGTTGCCCATGCTGGAGCGCATTGGCACAGTCTTGGCTCACTGAAGCCTCAACCTCCGGGGAGCAAGCACTCCTCCCTCAGCCTCCTGAGTAGCTGAGACTACAGGTATGCACCACCATATGCGGCTAATCTTTTGTGTTTTTTTGGAAGAGTTGGGTTTTCAGCCAGGTGCAGTGGCTCATGCCTATAATCCCAGCACTTTGGAAGGCCTAGGCAGACCGATCACTTGAGGCCAGGAGTTTGAGACCCGCCTGGCCAACATGGTGAAACTCCATCTCTACTAAAAATACAAAAAATAGCTGGGTGTGGTGACAGACACCTGTAGTCCCACCTACTCTGGGAAGGCTGAGGCATGAGAATTGCTTAAACCTGGGAGTTGGAAGTGGCAGTGAGCCAAGATCACACCACAGCCCTTCGGCCTGGGTGACAGAGCAAGACTCTGATTCAAAAATTAAAGAAAATAAAAATTAAAAAGATGAAGTCTTAACTATGTTCCCCGGCTGATGTGAATTCCTGGGCCCAAGTAGTCCTCTGGCCTCAGCCTCCCAAAGTGCTGGGATTACAGGTGTGCGCCATTGCACCCAGCCCAAGACATTTTTTTTAATGAGCACAAAGAGGCAAGGAAGGCACAAAAATGGCCAATTAAACCGCACGAGCACCACAGCCTCTGGCATGGCTAAAATAAAAAGACCGGCATGTCAAATAATTTTCAAGGATTTAGAGCAACTGGAAATTACAAGATGGTACAAGCACTTGGGGAAACTATATGGCATTTTCTTACAAAGGTTAACATGTATCTACCCCTGAGAAGCAGCAGTTCACCCTTAGGTATTTATCCAAGAGGAATTTTTAAATGCGTCCACGCAGAGATTTGTATCTGAATATTCATAAGAGCTAAAAGCTAGAAACATCCTGATGACGGTGAAGAGGTAGATGGATCAACACTGAAGTATATGCACGCAGTGGAATGCAGTTCAGCTGTGAAAACACAGCTCATCCACATAACGACATAAGAGAATTCCAGGAACTTTATGTCGAAAAAAAAGCCAGACTTAAAAGGATCCGTTATTATTCCATTTACATGAAGTTAATGAACTGGTAAAACTAGTCTCCAGTGATAGAAATTGCAACAGTGGTTGCCTCTGGCCATGACATGTTACCTGAAAGGGGGTTGGGGGAAATTTCTGGGGGTGATGGGTGTGTTCTGTGTCTTCATTGGTCCCACAGGTACATGCATGTGACAAAACTCATTGAATTGTATCAAGTGTGGGGCTGGGTGTGGAGCAACTGGGAATTTCTTACATTACTGGTGGAAATGCAGATGGTACAGCCAATTTGGGTTTTTTTGGTTTTTGTTTTGTTTTTTTTTTTTTTTGAGACGGAGCCTTGCTTTGTCACCTAGGCTGGATTGCAGTGGTGCGATCTCACCTGGTGTGTGTTTGCAGATGACTTTCCTAGCAGCACATCCCAGGAGGTTTCTTAGGTTACACAATGTCTTTAAAGCTGCAGGTGGCTTTGGGCCAGGTGCCCTCCTATGGGGGACCACGAACAAGGTGGAGCCGGACACCAGTATGGTGCTTCCCAACAGAATCCAGGGGTCACTTCTGTTTTTATAATTGAATGAGTAAAACAGCATCTGAGTGATCTTTTAATTTGTATTTCTTTTATTTATTCTTTTATTTTTATTTTTATTTATTTATTTATTTTAGACAGATTCTCGCTCTGTCCCCCAGGCTGGAGTGCAATGGTGTGATCTCAGCTCACCTCAACCTCTGCCTCCCAGGTTCAAGTGATTCTCCTGCCTTAGTCTCCTGAGTGGCTGGGACCACAGACGCACACCATCATGCCCAGGTAATTTTTGTATTTTTAATAGAGATGGGGTCTCACCGTGTTAGCCAGGCTGTTCTTGAACTCCCGACCTCGAGTGATCCGTCCACCTGGGCCTCCCAAAGTGATGGGATTACAGGCATGAGCCACTGCCCCCGGCCTTATTTTTAAAATATAGATGGGGTCTCGCTATGTTGCCCAGGGTGGTCTCAAACTTTGGAGCTCAAGCACAATCCTGCACTGGCCTCCCAAAGTGCTGGGATTACAGGCGTGAGCCACCGTGCCCAGCCTTGGTACAGCCAATTTGGAAGAGTTTTTCAGTCTTTTACACTGTTAAACATATCTTTATTAAACATATTTTTACAATGTTAAACAACTTATCACCCAGCAATCCCACTCCTAGGTGTTTACCCAAGAGAAATGAAATGTATATTCACACAAAAACCTGTACACAAATGTTTATAGTGGCTTTACGAATAAGTGCCAAAAACTAGAAACAGTCCACATGACCATCAACTGGTGAATGAATAAACAGCTTCAATTTACCCAATGGAATACTGCACAGAAAGGAAAACATGACTTTGTAACAACTTGGATGAGTCTCAAACTGCTTGAGTTTTCTGAATGAAAAGACATCTTTACACTGAATCTAAGAGCTGTTCCTTTGCTCATGTGTGTGGAAAAGCTAAGGCCGTGCTGCACATCGCCCTATCCTATCTGTAAAATGGACTGGGACCAGGCACGGTGGCTCACGCCTGTAATCCCAGCATTTTGGGAGGCCAAGGCAGGCGGATTATTGGAGGTCACGAGTTCAAGACCAACCTGGCCAATATGGTGAAACCCCGTCTCTACTAAAAATACAAAACAATTAGCCAGGCGTGGTGGTGGGCACCTCTAATCCCAGCTACCTGGGAGGCTGAGGCAGGAGAATCTCTTGAACCCAGGAGGCAGAGTTGCAGTGAGCCGAGACTGCACCATTGCACTGCAGCCTGGGCAACAAGAGCAAAACTTCATCCTAAAAAAGAAGGGAAAAAAGACCCTATTGTTGGAGAGATTCTGTGAGACACACCCTTAATCTATTCACAGAGCCTTTAGTGTCACTAAAGGGTACTCTGAGGCAACATTTATTAATCTTTTTGACATCAGAAGCTCAGTGGCTCACACCTGTAATCCCAGCATTTTGGGAGGCCGAGGCAGGCGAATCGCTTGAGCCCAGGAGTTCAAGACTAGCCTGGCCAACGTGGTGAAACCGCATCTCTACAAAAAATACAAAAATTAGTCTGGGCACGGTGGCTCACGCCTGTAATCCCAACACTTTGGGAGGCCGAGGCAGGTGGATCATCTGAGGTCAGGAGTTCGAGACCAGCCTGGCCAACATGGTGAAACCCCATCTCTACTGAAAATACAAGAACTAGCTGGGCATGGTGGTGCATACCTGTAATCCCAGCTACTCAGGAGGCTGAGACAGGAGAACCGCTTGAACCCAGGAGGCGGAGGTTGCAGTGAGCCGAGATCGCACCATTACACTCCAGCCTGGGCGACAGAGCGAGACTCCGTCTCATATTAAAAAAAAAAAAAAAAAAAAAAAAAAAAAAAACTTCGGGGGCTGAGGTGGGAGGATTATTTGAGCCCAGGAGGTCGAGGGTCTAGTGAGCTTGATCGTGCCACTGCACTCCAGCCTGGGCGGCAGAGTAAGTTCATGTCTCAAAATAAAAAAGAGTTTCCAGCTGGGCGCGGTGGCTCACACCTGTAATCTCAGCACTTTGGGAGGCAGAGGCAGGCGAATCACGAGGTCAGGAGTTCGAGACCAGCCTGACCAACATGGTGAAACCCTGTCTCTACTAAAAATACAAAAGTTAGCCGGGCATGGTGGCGCATGCCTGTGATCCCAGCTACTTAGGAGGCTGAGGCAGGGGAATCGCTTGAAGCCGGGAGGTGGAGGTTGCAGTGAGCTGAGATCACACCGCTACACTCCAGCCTGGGCGACAGAGCGAGACTCAATCTCAAAAATAAAGAGTTTCCAATCACATCCTGAGCATCGTCTCTAGAGCACATTTTCTTGGCAGTGCCATATAGTTTATCCTTGCTCGATAGTCATTTTCTTATTTTAGCATCATTTGCCGTATGGGGAGGCTAAAACATTTCAAAACCATTAATTCTGTCTCCTTTTTTTTTTAAATCTTTCTCTCAGTTAATGCTCTCCTCTCACATTTTACTATACCCAGCAGGAAGAAACCAGGCAGCATCTTGAATACTTTGTTTGGAAAATCTCATTAGCTAGGTCACCCGTTTATTATGTATATTCTGTCCTATCCATGTAACGTCAGGTAACAGCAGGGCTAAACTTTCTGCTGCTACTTAGTGAAAGTCTTCCTTCAATTTCCAATAACAACATTCTTCTCACTTTCTTTTAAGCCCTCTTCAGCAATGTCCTCAAAGTCCAAAGTCTAAGAACAGTGTGTTCAAAGCACTTTAGTGTCATCAACACTCTCCTCAAACCCTGGTCCCAGAGCCATGCCCACCTGTTAGGTTTTGCTACAGCAGCATCCTCTCTCTGTACCAAAATCTGTATCAGTCCAAGAGCAGAGCCATTAATATACATGTGTGTGTGTGACACACATATACATACATATATATGTGTGTATATATATATTACCCATACACCCATACCTGTGGATAATCGTGGACTTGCTGCAGGGCTTTGCTCTTACACAGTTAATTGTGTAAACTGATTCGTCAGTTTCCATAGGGCTGCCTGTTGTCTGCATCCGACGCTGGAGCCTACTGTCCACAGGAGGTTTGGGAGGGACCTAAACCTGCGTCAGTTCTTGCTGCTTCTGGCCTTGGTGGTGTGGAGGTGCTGCAGAAGCTAGGGCCTCTCATCATGAAGATGAGCCAGATGCCTCCTTCGGGAGCCACAGGATCCAGAGAGTCAATGAAAGTAAAACTTCAGGACTGTCTGGATTTATTACGCCAGGGAGGAAGTTGAGCCCTGGAGACTGTCAGGTCGTACGACTGCAATTCTTCTCAGATTCACTCTCTTCCTCATTGTTCTTGTTCTGTAAATGACTAAGAGAGACCAGAGACCAGACCTCCCCACTTCCAATCACTGGTTTTGTTGTAGATGAACTGCCTCCTTTGCTGTCCGGTACCTAATGTGGACCAGACGGTGCTCAAGACCCTATCACTAGTACAACCTCAGTGTGGAATGTTAAATATGCCTTGCCTGGAAGAAAAAGACCAACTTGACTAATCAGATCATCATAACTATGCATGAAGTCTTCCACAGAAAGATGATGAAATTTTGTTACACTTCCCTAACCTTTGTCTAAATAAGCATTCCCAAACATCTACACTTTGGAACACTGACTTCTGTTCTTTGAGATGGGTGCTTCCCAGGTGGCCCATCCTCAAACTTTTTGCTTGAATAAACTCTCTAAACTAGATTCTGTTCCTTTTGATTATTTTAGGTTGACAAGAAGAAGGCAGTAGTGGCAGTCCTGGCCATGGTGGTGTTAACAGTGTAAGCTGTCAGACCCACAACACGTGTGAGCCACAACACAGTGGCAGCTCCCTGCCTCTCCCCAAGCCTCCGCCAGCGCCTCCCTCATGGTCTTGCAGAAACACAGGAAGAACTCTAGTAAACCTGGGTCAGCTTAGCCAGCTCCACATGCTGCAAAGCCACCACATCAATTCATGGCATCATTAAGTTAAGAAAGAGTAATTTGGCTGGGCATGGTGGCTCACACCTGTAATCCCAGCACTTTGGGAGGCCGAGGCAGGCGGATCACCTGAGGTCATGAGTTCGAGACCAGCCTGGCCAACATGGTGAAACCCCGTCTCTACTAATATAGAAAATTAGCCGGGTGTGGTGGTGTGCGCCTGTAATCCCAGCTACTCAAGAGGCTGAGGCAGTAGAATCACTTGAGCCTGGGAGGCAGAGGTTGCAGTGAGCTGACATCGCGCCACTGCACTCCAGCCTGGTGAGCGCGCGAGACTCCGTCTCAAAAAAAAAAAAAGTAATTTATTATAAGGAAGTCCTTATACTGTTGCCTGTGGCTGCTGTAACACATTACCATAAACCTGGTGGCTTAAAACAACAGATATTCATTCTCTTGAAGTTCTGGAGGACAGAAGGCCAAAATTCAAGGGAGCAATAGGGCCATGGCCGCGCCATTCTTTGCCTCCCCAGTTTCTGGGGGCTGCCAGCATTCTATGACTGTGGCTGTGTGGCTGCTTCACTCCCATCCCTGCCTCTGTGTTCACACTGCCTCTTTCTGGGTCTGTTCTCTGCGTGTCTCTTGTAAGCACACTGCTTATTGGATTTAGGGCCCCTTCAGATAATCTAAGATGATCCCATCTCAAGAACTTAGATCTGCTAAGACTCTTTTTCTTCACATAAGGTAACTGTCTTAGTCTGTTAAGGCTGCTATAACAAAGCAGCATAGACTGGGTGGCTCTAAACAGGAGAAATTTATTACAGTTCTGGAAGCTGAGCGCCCAAGATCATGGCACCACAGAGTTGGTGTCTGGTGAGGGAATGGAGGAATTTTAATCCAAAAATGCATGCTGTGTTTCCTGCTCGGGGAGAGCTGTCTCCCTGTTCTGCTGGTATTTGTTTTTCTACCTGTTACTTCTGCTTTCTCACCTTTCCTTGCTGTGCTTTTCCTGTAGTGGTTGGAAGGTGGATGCTCACAGATCCCAAATGCACGTGACCAGTTCTTGGCTCCAGCCTTGGCCTGGGTTCCCCAGAAATACAACCTGAGACAAAGCCGTAGGTGCCTCTACTCTGAGATGGGGTGCAGTGCCCGTAGTGGGAGTCAGAGAGTGCCCTAGCAGGAGGAGGAGAGAGATGGAAGAGGAGGGGAAGAGGAGGGGGAGGAGTGGGAGAAGGAGGGGGAGTGCTGATGGATATGGGGCCATCTCAGTAAGATGGCATTGCTAAGTGTGCCTGCCCCACCTCTCGGGATGTCCCTAGAAGCCATGTGGACTGCATCAGGAAGGAAAGAGAGGAATCTGCCTGTGAGTGCCTCTCATTAGTCAAAGGTGCAGGGAATGTTAACTCTGTGCACAGCTGCATGGTTCATGTGTGATCTCAGAGGACTCTGATGCCTCCTGGTGACAGGGAAGCCCCAGGGCAGGAGGTGAGAGATCCAGGCGGGCACCAGGGAGACGTGTGGTTGGGTTCTTGGTTGGAGTCCACATGTTTTCACTGCAGAAGAAATAAAAGTCCTGAAGTTAGGAGGCTGTGATGTGAGTGAGAAAGTTCCAACTCTAAGCTCCCAACCAAGGTTCCCACAGCGAGTCAACTTGGGTCAGGTGCCCACTCCAGCTTGAACAAGGTGTGGCAAGAAATAAGAGATCAGGTTGTACAAATATAGCAGCTGAGATCATGCTATTGTGGAATGGAGGGATCAGTTAAGAAGGAATTAAAGTTCCTCCTGGTTGGCCAGGCACATGACTTGCACCTGTAATCCCAGCACTTTGGGAGGCCAGGTGGGAGGATCCCTGGAGGCCAGGAGTTCAAGGCCAACCTGGACAACAAAGTGAGACCCTGTCTCTAGATAAATAAATAAATCATAAATTTAAAAAGACAGACCAAGACAAGTATGATTTAAGGGGATATGTATGGGTGCCAAGTTAACAGGGGGTGGGTTGTGGTGGTCTTTTTATTGTGTCAACCTAGTGAGGCTGTCCCAGCTGTTCTATCAAACACACACCTCGTGTTGCTAGAAGGTATTTACTGGATGTGATTAAATTTCATATCAGTTGACTTTAAGTAAAGGAGATGATCCCAGGCAGTCCAGCTGGGCCGGATTCAATGGGTTAGAGGACACTGAGGCAGAGCTCCAGCTTCCTGAGACAAGGCGGAATGGTAGCCCCAAAGCTGTCTGCTTCCTAATCCCTGGGCCGTGTGACTATGTTAGTTTACATGGCAAGAGGAGAATTAAAATTGCAGATGGAATTAGGGTTGCTAGTCCACTGACTTGAGATAGAGACGTTACCCTGCATTATCTGGGGATGTCGTCACACGGCTCCTAAAGGTGGAAGAGGGGACAGAAGCACAGTGTCAGAGAAAGGTGTGAGGCCAGGGCAGCCTGAGGGCAGAGCCAGCTGAGGGCTTTGAGGACAGAAAAAGTCAAGGGAAGGAGCAGGATCCGGGAATGTGAGTGGCCTCTACACCAATATGGAGAAATCCTGTCTGTACTAAAAACACAAAAACTAGCTGGGCCTGGTGGTGCATGCCTGAATCGCTTGAACCAGGGAATCGGAGGTTGCAGTGAGCTGAGATCACGCCACTGCACTCCAGCCTGGCAACAGAACAAGACTCCGTCTCAAAAAACAAACAAACAACAAACAACAAAAAAACAGATTTTTTTTTTTTTTGAGACGGAGTCTCGCTCTGTCGTCCAGGCTGGAGTGCAGTCACGCGATCTCGGCTCACTGCAAGCTCTGCCTCCTAGGTTCACGCCATTCTCCTGCCTCAGCCTCCCGAGTAGCTGGGACTACAGGCACCCACCACCACGCCCGGCTAATTTTTTTTGTATTTTCTAGTAGAGACGGGGTTTCACTGTGTTAGCCAGGATGGTCTCGATCTCCTGACCTCGTGATACGCCCGCCTTGGCCTCCCAAAGTGCTGGGATTACAGGCTTCAGCCACCGCAACCGGCCAAAAAAACCAGATATTAATTATCTTCAAGTTCTGGGGGCTGGAAGGCCAAAATTCAAGGCAGCAATAGGGCCTTGCCTCCACCATTCTTTACCTGCTCAGTTTCGGGGGCTGCCAGCATTCTATGACTTGTGGCTGTGTGGCTGCTTCACTCCCATCTCTGCCTCTGTGTTCACACTGCCTCTTTTTCTGGGTCTGCTCTCAGTGTCTCATGTAAGCACACTGCTTATTGGATTTAGGGCCCCTTCAGATAATCTAAGATGATCCCATCTCAAGAACTTAGATCCGCTAAGACTCTTTCTTCATATAAGGTACTGTCTTAGTCCGTCAGGACTCCTATAACAAAGCACCATAGACTGGGTGGCTATAAACAGGAGAAATGTATTACTCATAGTTCTGGAAGCTGAGTGCCCAACATCAAGGCACCACAGAGTGGGTGTCTGGTGAGGTCCCACTGTCTGGTTCTCAGTGGCTGTTGTCTGGCTGTGTCTTCACATGGCAGAAAGGACAAGGCTGTTCTCTGGGGTGTCTTTTTTTTTTTTTTTTTTTTTTTTTTTTGAGATGGAGTCTCGCTCTGTCACCCAGGCTGGAGTGTGGTGGCGCAATCTCGGCTCACTGCAAACTCTGCCTCCCGGGTTCATGCCATTCTCCCACCTCAGCTTCCCGAGTAGCTGGGACTACAGGCACCCGCCACCACGCCCGGCTAATTTTTTGTATTTTTAGTAGAGACGGGGTTTCACCGTGTTAGCCAGGATGGTCTCCATCTCCTGACCTCATGATCCACCCACCTCAGCCTCCCAAAGTGCTGGGATTACAGGCGTGAGCCACCGCGCCTGGCCCCCTCTGGGGTGTCTTTTATAAGGGCACAAATCCCACTCATGAGGACTCTACTTTTGTGACCTGTCAGCTCCCAAAGGCCCCACCTCCTAATGCCATCATCTTGGTGATGGGGTTTCAACATAGTAGTAACAGCCACAGGTTCCAGGGATTTGACACAGGTATTTGCTGGGGGATGCTTTTTCAGTTTACCAGAGCCAAAAATTTGTAGTAATTTGTTGTGACCGTGACAGAAACCTAAAAACAGGACAGTAACTTTCTTTTCTTTTTTTTTTTTTTTGAGATGGAGTTTTGCTCTTGTTGCCCAGGCTGGAGTGCACAATGGAGTGATCTTGGCTCACCACAACCTCCGCCTCCCCCATTCAAGTGATTCTCCTGCCTCAGCCTCCCAAGTAGCTGGAATTGCAGGCATGTTCCACCACGCCCGGTTAATTTCTTGTATTTTTAGTAGAGATGGGGTTTCTCCATGTTGGTCAGGCTGGTCTTGAACTCCTGACCTCAGGTGGTCCGCCTGCCTCAGCCTCCCAAAGTGCTGGGATTACAGGCGTGAGCCACCGCCCCCAGCCACAGGACAGTAACTTTCTGATGGCCTGCCCTCCAGATTTCATCCTAGCTGAGCCAGCCCCCATAGTGCATAAGCCAATTCCTTGCAGTAAATCTCCTAATATGTATCTCCTACTGATTCTGCTTTTCTGGTTGAACCCTGACTGACATAATATGCTTGTGTCAATATCAGCCTGACAAAGATGCAGAATATTTCCAAGTCCCCAGAAGTTTCCTACACGCCTCTTTTCAGTCCATCCTATTCCCTGCAGACCACCTCACCCAAGCAAACGATTTAACGATTTCTGACTTCCTTTTCTTTCTTTTTTTTTTTTTGAGACAGAGTCTCATTCTGTTGCCCAGGTTGGAGTGCGGTGGCGCAATCTCAGCTCACTGCAGCCTCCACCTCCTGGGTTCAAGTGATTCTTCTGCCTCAGCCCCCTGAGTAGCTAGGATTACAGGCACCCACCACCACACCCGGCTAATTTTTTGTATTTTTAGTAGAGATGGGGTTTCGCCATGTTGGTCAGGCTGGTCTCGAACTCCTGACCTCGAGTGATCCACCCGCCTTGGCCTCCCAAAGTGCTGGGATTACAGGGGTGAACCACCACGCCCGGCCAATTTCTGACTTCTGTCACCAGTGAGTAGTGGTGCTATCTGTCATGGAAGTTCATATAGATGAAATCCCACAATATGTACATGGTCTTTTGTGTGTGGAAAATTACAGAATAGTTTTGAGGTTCATCTATTTTATAATACTACTTGTATATCCATTTTCTTCCCCTTTTAAAAACTTTTTTCATCATATTGTTTTCCATAGTGGCACCATTTTACATGCCCACTAAGAGTACACAGAGTTCCAATTTCATCATATCCTTGCCAATACTTGTTATTTTGTTTATTTTTATTTTATTATTATTATTATTTTTTTTTTTTTTTTGAGACAGAGTCTTGCTCTGTCGCCCAGGCTGGAGTGCAGTGGCGTGACCTCGGCTCACTGCAAGCTCTGCCTCCCGGGTTCACACCATTCTCCTGTCTCAGCCTCCTGAGTAGCTGGGACTACAGGCACTCGCCACCACACCCAGCTAATTTTTTTGTATTTTTGATAGAGACAAGGTTTCACCGTGTTAGCCAGGATGGTCTCGATCTCCTGACCTTGTGATCCGCCCATCTCGGCCTTCCAAAGTGCTGGAATTACAGGCATGAGCCACCGTGCCCGGCCTATTATTTCTTTTTTTTGAGATGGAGTCTCACTCTGTCGCCCAGGCTGGAGTGCAGTGGCAGGATCTTGGCTCACTGCAACCTCCGCCTCCTGGGTTCAAGCGATTCTCCTGCCTCAGCCTCCCAAGTAGCTGTTTGTTGATAGTAGGCATCCTAATGAGTGTGAAATAGAAAAACACAAGAACAAATCCTTTTGATTTGTTCTTTCCTTTTTATTGCTGAGTAATATTCCATTATATGAACAGTATTTGTTTATCCATTCTCCTATTTGTGCACTTTGGGTTGTTTCTAGTTTTTTGCGATTATAAATAAGCTGGTAAGAATATTCATTATACAGCCAGGTGTGGTGGCTCATGCCTGTAATCCTAGCACTTTGGGAGGCCGAGGCAGGCGGATCACCTGAGGTCGGGAGTTTGAGACCAGCCTGATCAACATGGAGAAACCCCATCTCTACTAAAAATACAAAATTAGCCAGGAGTGGTGGCGCATGCCTGTAATCCCAGCTACTCGGAAGGCTGAGGCAGGACAATCGCTTTAACTCGGGAGGTGGAGGTTGTGGTGAGCAGAGATCACGCCATTGTACTCCAGCCTGGGCAACAAGAGTGAAACTCCATCTCAAAAAAAACAAAAAAGAAAAAACAAAAGACTATTAATTATACAAGTTTTTGTGCAGAGATTAATTTGTATTTCTATTAGGTAAATACTTAGAAGTAGAATTACCATCATAGGAGATATATATGTTGAATTTTATAAAAGACTTCCAATGTGGTTTCTTTCTGAAGTGTGAGTTAAAGTCTTTTGCCCTATTTTTCCTGCATTGTCATTTTATTGTTGTTTGGGTTCTTTACATATTCTGGACACAAACTCTCTGTCTGTTATATGTATTGCAGTATTGTCTTGCAATATTGTCTATGTCTTTTCACTCTTTTAACATTCTTTTGATGAGAAGTTTTAAATTTCGATCAAATCAATTTATCATTTTTTTCCTAAAGGTACTAACCCTACATTTTTGAGAAATCTTGCCTTCCTCTACTCTACCGTTATAAAATTATTCTCTTATGTTTTCTTCTAGAAGCTTTGTATCTTTAGCTTTCAAATTTAGGTCTATGATCCATACACAGCCAGTTACTTTTTGTACATGGTGTTGGGGAGGAAGTTGAGTTTCAGTTTTTGTACATCGTTATGCAGTTATTCTAGCACCATTTTTAAAAAAAGTTTCTTTTATTTTTTTTTTAACACGGAGTCTCTCTCTGTTGCCAGGTTGGAGTGCAGTGGCATGATCTCAGCTCACTGCAACCTCTGTCTCCTGGATTCAAGTGATTCTCCTGCCTCAGCCCCCGGGGTAGCTGGGATTACAGGCACTCGCCACCACACCCAGCTAATTTTGGTATTTTCAGTAGAGACAGGGTTTCGCCACGTTGGCCAGGCTGGTCTCGAACTCCTGACCTCAGATGATCTGCACGTCTTGGCCTCCCAAAGTGCTGGGATTACAGGTGTGAGCCACTGTGCCCAGCCAAAAAAGAGTTTTCTTTCTCCATGGAAGTCCTTTAGCATCTTAATTGAAAACCAATTGACCAAATAATGTGTACTTAATTTTCACTATTCTGTTCCATTGCTGTATAGTAGTCTCATTTCTATAGATAATTCTTCATTGGCTGTTTGCCCTTAGGCCCATTTCCAGAGGCTTTAAATGGTTATTTATTTTATTTTATTTTATTTCGTTCTATTTTTTTGAGACAGGGTCATGCTCTGTCGCCCAGCCTGGAGTGCAGTGGCACGATGTCAGCTCACTACAACCTCCAACTCTCGGGTTCAAGTGATTCTCCTGCCTCAGCCTCAGTGGTAGCTGGGACCACAGGCACCGCCTACTATGCCCAGCTAATTTTTGTATTTTGTAGAGAGGGGGTTTTGTCCTGTTGGCCAGGCTGGTCTCGAACCCCTGAGCTCAAGCAATCCACTGCCTCGGCCTCCCAAAGTGCTGGGATTACAGGCATGAGCCACCGCACCTGGCCTAATGGTTGTTTTTAAATAAGCACTGTACTATACTCACCTATTTTCAGACTATGGTTGACCATGAGTAACTGGAACTCAGAGGAGGGGGACTACTAGTACAGTATAATGAGATATTTTGAGAGAGAGACGAACTACATCACTTTTATTATAGTATACCACTACAATTGTTCTATTTTTATTATTGTTAATGTCTTACTGTGTCTAATTTATTTATTTATTTATTTTTAGATGGAATCTCACTCTGTGAGTCTCACTCTATCGCCCAGGCTGGAGTGCAGTGGCACAATCTCAGCTCACTGCAACCTCTGCCTCCAGAGCTCAAGCAATCCGCCCACCTTGACCTCCCAAAATGCTGGGATTACCGACCTGTGTGTACTTTATAAATTAAACTTTATCATAGGCCTGCATATATAGAAAAATATATAGTCTATACAGTGTAGAGTGTGCTACTATCTGTCCTTTCAGACATCCACCAGGGGTCTTGAAGCTTATCCCCCAGAAGATGAGGTGGGAACTACTGTAAATAATTTTGACCCTTTGAAATCTGATGAGACTTGTTTTACTTCCTAACATATGGTATATTTTGTGAATGTTACGTGTTTATTTGAAAACTTTAATTCCTGTCAGTAACAGCTTGAAGTCTTCAGTACAAAGCGTCTGAACATCTTTCATTCCGTACAATGCATTCTGTATTCTGTTTTGTGGAGGTGCCATTTAGGTATAATACGTTAATTACTTAAAAAAAATTTTGTATCTTTACTTCTTTTTGTGTCTGCCTGTCCTATCAATTACTAATAGAGAGAAGTTCAAATCTCTATGAGTGTGTATTCGCCTATTTCTTCTTTTGATTCTATCCATCTTTGTCTAAATATTTCAAAACTTATTTGATGTATATATGCACTAAAAGTTATTTTTTCTTCCTTTTCTTTTGAGACGGAGTTTCACTCTTGTTGCCCAAGCTAGAGTGCAATGGCACGACCTTGGCTCACTGTAACCTCCGCCTCCCGGGTTCAAGTGATTCTCCTGCCTCAACCTCCCAAGTAGCTGGGATTACTGCAACCTTCGCCTCCCAGGTTGAAGCGATTCTCCTGCCTCAACCTCCCGAGTAGCTGGGATTACAGGCATGTGCCACCAGACCTGGCTAATTTTTTGTATTTTTGGTAGAAACAGGGTATGTTAGCCAGGCTGGTCTCGAACTCCTGACCTCAGATGACCTGCCCGCCTCAGCCTCCCAAAGTGTTGGAATTACAGGCGTGAGCCACCATGCCCGGCCTATTTTTTCATACTTAATTGACCCATTTATTTTTATCAAATGTCCTTTTTATCACTGATAGTGCCCCTTGAGTTGAATTCTACTTTGATATTAATATAATCACTCCACCTTTCTGATTAGCATGTCCTTTTGCATCTTTTTAATTTCAGCCTCTTTGTGTCCTTATATTTAAATTATGTCTTTTTTTTTTTTTTTTTTTGAGACCAGGTTTCACTCTTGTTGCTTAGGCTGGAGTTCAATGGCGCAATCTCAGCTAACTGCAACCTCTGCCTCCCGGGTTCAAGCGATTCTCCTGCCTCAGTCTCCTGAGTAGCTGGGATTATAGGCATGTGCCACCACACCCAGCTAATTTTGTATTTTTAGTAAAGACGGGGTTTTGCCATGTGGGTCAGGCTCGTCTTGAACTCCTGACCTCAGTTGATCCACCCGCGTTGGCCTCCGAAAGTGCTGGGATTAACAGGCATGAGTCACTGTGCCCGGCCAAAATTATGTCTTCTTAAAACAGAATATATTTGGGTCTCGTTTTTAATCCAATGTGACAATTTCTGTGTTTTAATCCATTTACAGTTAGTAAACGGATTACATGTTTAGTCCATTTACATTCAATGTGATTACTAATGTGGTTGAAGTCTAACTGCTTGCTCTTTGTCTTTGCCTTATGTGCTTTTTGCTCCTTCCTTCCTGCTTTCTTTTGGATCAAGCATATTTTTGTATTCTATTTTATCTCTTTTCTTGGATTTTTAGCTGTATTATTTTTTATTAATTGCTCTAGGGATTACAATATTTTATTATTTTAAGACGGAGTCTTGCTCTGTCGCCCAGGCCGGAGTGCAGCGACACGATCTTGGCTCACTGCAACCTCCACTTCCTGGGTTCAAGCGATTCTCCTGCCTCGGCCTCCCGAGTAGCTGGGATTACAAGCCCACACCACCATGCCCGACTAATTTTTGTATTTTTAGTAGAGACGGGGTCTTCACCATGTTGGCCAGTGTGGTCTCGAACGCCTGACCTCAGGTGATCCGCCCGCCTCGGACTCCCAAAATGCTGCGATTACAGGCGTGAGCCACTGCGCTCGGCCGGGATTACAATATTTTAAATTATCACAGTATAACTTGAATTTGGGTTCTATCATGTCATCTACAATGTAAAAACCTTTGGAATCTAATTTTGAGACTCCACCCTAGGCACAGAAAAGGAGTAATCTGCTGATTTGAAAATGTGTGGACTGGGAACCAGAATGTTATCCAAAGCCCCTGTTTTGCAGGAATGTGAGAAAGTGATATCCGAATATTGAGTCAACTGGTAGATTGTCTCAATCCGCTGGTCAGGATTCATTTGCTGCTTTTTGCCTTACCGCAGAGCACAAGCGGGGGTAACCAAACCTTCATAATCTAGAGACCAGACTAGAATATCTGATGCCCATCCTTACTGTTCTCCGTAAGAACCAGGGGTCGCGGATGAATGGGGAGTGAGGTTGCTGCGGCTGAGCGGGGCGTTTAGGGCAGTTTTCCTAAACACGCCTGTGACCAGCTGACTCCACTCAGCGTTTCCGTGTGAGGTATGTTTCTTCACCGGCCTTTCAAGATTGTTTTTTGGCACGAGCTCAAATCAGGTTTTCTTCCGTCCGCCGTTCCCGCAGGTCTGCGCACGGATTTGTCCCTGGTTCCCGCAGGCAATGGGGCCGCAGGGGCCGGCCGGGGGGGTCCCCAGCGGGCTCTGCGCGCCGACCTGCAGCTGGGACCCGCGCCTGGAACCCTCCCGACGAGCGCAGGTGAGCGCCTCCTGCCAAGTGGGGCGGCGCCACACGGGCGTCCTGGGTGTCCCCCTGAGCTCCTTCCGCAGCTCAGGCCAACCCCCGCCCTGACCCGGTGGAGCCCCGGGACAGGGTGCGGACCCCGTTCCTTCGCGCTCCGAACCGGACGGACCCGCAGGAGGACCCCACGCCCGCTCCGCTCCGACCCCGCCGTCCCGCGCAGGCTGCGGTGACCCAGGCCGGCAGGTAGCCAGGGGCTCTCTGCCTGGGAGGACACCTTCGGCGGCTGGCGTGGGGAAAGGGGCCGCCCGGCCGGGGATGCCCCGCCAGGAGGAGGGAGCGGCCGGGGCCGCGGCCGGGAGGGAGGAGCGCCGGGAGGAAGAGGCCGAGCCGGGAGAGCCCCCGCCCCGGGAGGAAGGGGAGGAGGCCGAGTGTTTCCTGGCGCATTCCCGGCCAGCCCGAGTGACTCACTCGGCCAAGGAAACTCCCAGGGCCCGCCCAGGACCCCCAAGCCGCCGCGGACGCAGGTGAGGAACCCCGCTCGCCCGCGCCTGCCCTGCGGCCTCCGCGGGGTCCGGGTCCCCCTCGGAACCTGGGCCGGCCAGGGCGGCGGCGGGGCCGGGACGGACCCCCCCCTCCCCCCCAACCCCGGCGGCGCGGCCTCCCCGGCGGCGCGGCCTCCGGGATCGTCCTGGTCCCCGCGTCCCCCAGGTCCCGGCCCCGGGCTCCCGCGCCTCCCGGGCTCCAGGTCCCCGCACTCCCTGCACTGGCTTCCCGGTCCCTGCGCCCCCGGCCTTTCGGCCTCGGCCCCGAGCTCCCCGCCCCCGCGTTCACCGCCTCGCGCCCCCGGATCCCGGATTCCGCGCCCCGGCACATGGCACAGCTCCAGTGGCGAAGGAATACCTTAGTGTTTGACGTTTTTGTTGGAAAGTAAGGAGCAGGCAGATTGTTAATGTTGCACTAAGGTCGCGCAGCAAGATCTGAACCCGTTTTTGTTTCGTGCCCCTGTGAGGAGCGGAGGGAGCCTGGTCCGCGGAGCCATTCCGGGCATTCTTGGAGAGAGGAGTTTTGGGCTTTGTTAAGGAGGCGCGATCGTTACGGAGGCAGCACTGTTTCGCACAAGCATCTGAATTGTGTATTTTAAGGCTGAAATGCGTGAGCTTAATTTGCAGCACATTGTGGGTGTGACAAGAAGGGTGCAAGAATAATCGGGAAACGGGGTTGATGGAACGTGTTTTAAGCTGAGAGGGGCGTCTGGACGGTGTCAGCTCCGCTATTAAGTCCAGTCAGGGAGCGGCTGCTGATTGAGCCCAGCGCCGCGTGGTCGCCGCTGGGGACTGAGGCTCGGGAGCGTTTGTTTTCTGGCGGCGGAGGGCACCGTGGCTGCGCCGGGAGCGGTGGTGTTTCTTGCAGTCGTCCGTCGGACTCCGGAATGAGGCGTGGTCGGAGCCGCGGTGATGCCTGGTGCAGTGCGCACATTGCTATGCTTGACAGCTTGGCGGCAGAGTCCCGGCCAGGCCGGGACCCGCGGGGGCCCCACGCATGCTGCCTTTTCCCTGCGGGTGGCCAGCGGTTTTCCAAGTGATGTCTAGATCTGCAGGCACGGAGCCTGGAAGAACGAGTCACGCTGTGAGTGGGCGCGGGCCGTAGCAGGTGTGCACTCGTAGGGCCAGTAGGGATATAGTGCCGGTGCCCTCACTGCGACCGAGGCGCCCTGGAGTCGTGGCGGAGGACGTTTCCTGCGTTAAGACAGGTGTCTGTGCTGCGCTCAAAGAAAATGTACCCCCTAAGTTTGTGTGTGTGTTTAAATTTATTTTAAACTTTTAGTAAGATTCACTTTTTGGTGTTCAGTTCAGTGAGCTGTAGCAGGTGCATGGACTGTAGTGACTTCCACCGCAGTCAGGATACTCAGGAAGGCAGCCTCTCTCCTCCCCGCTCTTGCAGCCGCCTGTCTGTTCCTCAGTCCTCCTGCTTTGCCCATTCCAGAATGTCACATGTGGGCTTGGAGTCTGGCTTGTTTCGCTTAGCATAAGGCGTTGGAGATTCAGCTATGCTCTGGTTTGTCCCTGAAGAGTAAAGATACAAGGGTCTGAAAAGTGTGGCTCTCGGATACAGCCTGAGAGAGAGACTAAAATGATAAAGTGATGAGAAAAATTACAAAACTATAGTTCATTAAAAACATTAAACAGCATAGAACCGTGTATACTAAAAGTGAAATTCCCTCGGTACTTCTAAGTAGTATAATAGTCTTTTCTGTGCATAAGTAATTTTTTAAATAACATAGTGAGATCATATTGCATATATTATCGTCATACATTTTTCACTTAATGATGTTTGGTTACTTAAAGATCTTAGCAATCTTTACATGTTGATATATATAGTCTGTACACACAGATTTCCCTCAATCTTTTAAATAACCGTATAGTATTCCTTTTTTTTTTTTTTTTTTTTTTTTTTTTTTGTGACAGAGTCTTAACTCTGTGGCCCAGACTGGAGTGCAGTGACGCAAACTCGGCTCGCCACAACCTATGCCTCCTGGGTTCAGGTGGTTCTCCCACCTCAGCCCCCTGAGTAGCTGGGATTACAGGCACGCACCACCACACCCGGCTAATTTTTGTCTTTTTAGTAGAGACGGGGTTTTGCCATGTTGCCCAGGCTGGTCTTGAACTCCTGACCTCAAGTGATCTGCCCGCCTCAGCCTCCCAAAGTGCTGGTATTACAGGCATGAGCCACTGTGCCCGGCCAAATCACTATAGTATTCTGTAGTGTGGATGTTTCATAATTTTATCAGCCTCCTGTTGATTGACATTATAGTTATTTACTGTTTTTCACCACTACAGTCAATGCTTGTGTCTGTATCTTTGTGCACATACTCAAGTTTATAATGCTAAAGGTGACTTTGGGTTTAAATAATAGCTAACATCTCCCTCCCTCCTTTGTTTTCTTTTCTTTTATGTTATGTTATTTTATTTTATTTTTTGTGAGACAGGGTTTTGCTCTTGTTGCCCAGGCTGGAGTGCAATGGTGTGATCTCGGCTCACTGCAACTTCCACCTCCTGGGTTCAAGCAATTCTCCTGCCCCAGCCTTCCGAGTAGCTGGGATTACAGGCGCCTGCCACCACACCCAGCTAATTTTTGTATTTTTAGTAGAGACAGGGTTTTGCCATGTTGGCCAGGCTGGTCTCAAACTCCTGACCTCAGGTGATCCACCCACCTCGGCCTCCCAACGTGCTGGGATTACAGGCGTGAACCACCGCGCCCACCCAAAACATATTTTATAGTGTGAAGTTTTAACTAACATGTCCAAGCTATTCTCATTGTTTTTCCTATTAAAATTTAGCCAACCCTTAGAGGCCATTGATAAAGCATGGATTAATTACACTGACATAATTTAAAAACCTTATTTTAGCCAGTGCAATAGTATCAGACAAAGAAAGAAAAGGCATACAAATTGGAAAGGGAAAATTGTCCCTATTTGCTGACAACATGATTATCTACATAGAAAATCCAGGGAATCTATGAAAAAGCTACTAGAACTAATTAATGAGGTTAGCAAGGTCACAAGATACAAAGTCAACACACAGAAGGCGACCTTATTTTTCTTTTTTTTTTTTGAGACAGAGTTTCATTCTTGTTGCCCAGGCTAGAGTGCAATGGTGCGATCTCGGCCCACCGCAACCTCTGCCTCCCGGGTTCAAGCGATTCTCCTGCCTCAGCCTCCCGAGTAGCTGGGATTACAGGCATGTGCCACCATGTCTGGCTAATTTTGTGTTTTTAGTAGAGATGGGGTTTCTCCGTGTTGGTCAGGCTGGTCTGGAACTCCCAACCTCAGGTGATCCGCCTGCCTCGGCCTCCCAAAGTGCTAGGATTATAGGCGTGAGCCACCGGGCCCGGCCTGGCGACCTTATTTCTGCATACAGCAGTGCCCCTTATCCATGGGGAGATACATGCAAAGTCAACACTATACAAGCTGACCTTATTTCTGTTTACAACAGTCCTTGTTATCCATGGACGATACGTTCCAATGGAAGCCTGAAACCTGAGATAAGACAGAACCCTCCGTGTACTGTGGTTTTTTTCCCTATACATCTATGCCTATGATAAAGCTTAATTTACAAATTAGGCGCAGTAAGAGATTACCAACAATAACTGTTCATAATATAGAATAATTATATACTGAATAAAAGTTATATAAATGTGTTCTCTCTTTCAAAATATCTTTTTGTATGCACTCACCTATTTTTGGAGGGCAGTTGACTGTAGGCAGCTATAACTGGGGAAACAGAAATTGCAGATAATGAAACTACAGGTAAGTGGGGACTACTGTACTAGCAATGTACAATTAGAAAGTTAAATTTGGCTGGGCGTGGTTGCTCACGCCTGTAATCCCAGCACTTTGGGAGGCCGAGGCGGGCGGATCACAAGGGCAGGAGTTCGAGACCAGCCTGGCCAACATAGTGAAACCCTGTCTCTACTAAAAATACAAAAATTAGTTGGGCATGGTGGCGTGCGCCTGTAGTCCCAGCTACTCAGGAGGCTGAAGCAGGAGAATCGCCTGAACCCGGGAGGCGGAGGTTGTGGTGAGCCGAGATCGCGCCACTGCAGTCCAGCCTGGGCAACAGAGCGAGACTCCGTCTCAAAAAAAAAAAAAGAAAATTAAATTTAAAAACACAACATTTCGTTTGCTTCAAAGGAATCAAATACTTAGGTATACATTGAATAAGACTTACAGGATCTGTATGCTGAAGATGAGAGAAATCAAAGATCATTTAAGTAAATGGGGGAACATACCATGGTCAGTGGTTGGAACACTCAACATAGTAAAGACATCAGTTCTCTTCATATTGATCTATAAATTTAACCCAATTCCAATTTAAAAATATTAGCATGCTTTAAAAACAAAAATTTTAAACAAAAATTTTGTTTATTGAGGTATAATATACCTACTTTATAAAATTCACCTACTTTTAAGTATACGTTTGGCTGGCCTGTGAACGAGGGGGTTAGGGATTCCAACCCCCTGTGCAGTTGAAAATCCGAGTGTAACTTTTTTTGAGATGGAGTTTCGCTCTTATTGCCCAGGATAGAGTGCAATGGCACGATCTTGGCACACTGCAACCTCTGCCTCCTGGGTTTAAGCCATTCTCCTGCCTCAGCCTCCCAAGTAGCTTGGATTACAGGCATGCGCCACCACTCCCACTAATTTTGTATTTTTAGTAGAGAGGGGGTTTCACTGTGTTGGTCAGGCTGATCTCGACCTCCTGACCTCAGGTGATCTGCCCGCCTCTGCCTCTGCCTCCCAGAGTGCTGGGATTACAGGCGTTAGCCACCGAGCCTGGCCTTTAACCTTTTTTTTTTTTTTTTTTTTTTTTGAGACGGAGTCTCGCTCTGTCTCGGCTCACTGCAAGCTCTGCCTCCCGGGTTCAAGCGATTCTCCTGCCTCGGCCTCCTGAGTAGCTGAGATTACAGGCACCCGCCACCATGCCTGGCTAATTTTATATTTTTAGTAGAGATGGGATTTCACCATGTTGGCCAGGCTGGACAAGTATAACTTTTGACTTCTCAAAAGTTAAAACTACGTGACTTCCCAAAAGTTAAAACTACGAATAGCCTGCTATTGACCAGAAACCTTACTGATAACATAAACAGTTGATTAACAGAGATTTTGTAAGTTATATGTATTACATACTGTGTTCTCATAATAAAGTAAGCTAGAGAAAAGAAAATGTTGTTAAGAAAATCATGAGGAAGAGGAAATAAACTGACTACTCATCACGTGGAAGTGGATCATCAGAAAGGTCTCCATCCTCAAAAAGCTCACAGTGAGCAGGCCAAGGAGGAGGAAGTGGATGGGTTGGTTTTGCTGTCTTGGGGGTGGCAAAGGCAGAAGTGGAGGGAGGTGGAAGGAGGGGCTAGAGAGGCAGGCATACACCGTGTAACTTTTACTGGAAAAAGTCTGCAAATAAGTGGACCCGCATGGTTCAAACACGTGTTGTTTCAGGGACAACTATACAATAATTTTTAGAAGATTTCTGGAGCTGTGCAACAACCATCACCATAATCCAGTTTTTGTTTGTTTGTTTTGAGACAGGGTCTCACTCTGTCACCCAGGCTGGAGTGCAGTGGTGTGATCTCAGCTTACTGCAACCTCCGCCTCCTGGGTTCCAGTGATTCTCATGCCTCAGCTTCCCAAGTACCTGGGATTACAGGAGGTGCCACCAAGCCTGACTAATTTTTTTGCATTTTTAGTAGAGGAAGGGGTTTCACCGTGTTGGCCAGGCTGGTCTCGAACTCCTGGCCTCAAGTGATTCATCTGCCTCGGCCTCCCAGTACTGGGATTATAGGCATGAGCCATCGTGTCCGGCCTGTTTTTGTTTTTTTAATTTTAATTATTTTTTAAATGGAGATGGGGTATCACTATGTTGCCCAGGCTGGTCTTGAACTTCTGGGCTGGAGCAATCCTCCTTTCCTCCTGAAAGTGCTAGGATTACAGATGTGAGCCACCAGGCCCGGCCTTGCTCATCTGTTGATGGACAGTTAGGTTGATTCCATGTCTTGGCTGTTGTGAAAGGTGCTGCAATAAACATGGGGTACAGCGATCTCTTGGACATACGGATTTCATTTCTTTTAGATATATACCCAACAGTGGTGTTGCTGGGTCATATGGTAGTTCTATTTTTAATATTTTGAGGAACCCCCGGCACTGTTTTCTACAATGGCTATACTGATTTACATCTCCACCAACAGTGTACAAGGGTTTCCCTTTCTCCACACCCTGGACAACACTTGTTATCTTTTGCCTTTTTGACAAGAGCCAGTCTGACAGGTGTGAGGTGATAGCTCATTGTGGTTTTGATTTGGATTCCCTGATGATTAGCGATGTTGAGCATTTTTTCATACACCTGTTGGCCACTTGTACACCTTCTTTTGAGAAATATCCATTCAGATCTTTTACAATTGAGTTGTTTGAATTCTTTGTATATTTTCATTATTAATCCCTTATTAGTTATATGGTTTGCAGATATTTTCCTGCATTCTGTAGATTGTCACTTTGTTGATTGATTCCTTTGCTGTGCAGAACATTTTTAGTTTGATGTAATCCCATTTGTCTATTTTTTCTTTTGTGGCCTTTGCTTTTGAGGCTTTATTTCCTCAAAATAAGCCAGGCACAGAAAGACAAGTACTGCACGATCTCACTCACATGTGGAATCTGAAAACGCTGATGCCACAGAAGAACAGAGCAGAATGGTGGTTACCAGAGGCTGGGGTGGCTGGCGGAAGGGGAGAGAGGAAGATGTTGGTCAAAGGATACACATTTACAGTTAGATACAAGGGGGAAAGTCCAGAATAGGCAAATATACAGAGACAGAGAGTAGACAGGTGATTGCCTGGGGCCAGAAAGCAGGGGAGAGAGGATCAGTGAAGAACGGGTAGAAAAAGTGAGAATAACTGCTAATGGTTAGGGAGTTTCTTCTCCCTTTTTTTTTTTTTTTTTTTTTTTTGACAAGGTCTCGTTCTGTCACCCAGGCTGGAATGCAGTGGGGCAATCATGGCTTACTGCAGCCTTGCCCTTTTGGGCTTAAGCAATTCTCCCACCTCAGCCTCTCCAGTACCTGGCACTACAGGTGTGCACCATCATGCCTGGCTAAATTTTGGTTGGTTGTTGTTTTGTTTTTTTGAGACGGAGTCTCACTCTGTCGCCCAGGTTGGAGAGCAGTGGCGCGATCTTGGCTCACTGCAACCTCTGTCTCCCAGGTTCAAACGATTCTCCTGTCTCAGCCTCCTGAGTAGCTGGGATTACAGGTGTGCACCACCATGCCCGGCTAATTTTTGTATTTTTAGTGGAGGCAGGGTTTCACCATGTTGGCCAGGCTAGTCTCAAACTCCTTACCTCAAGTGATCCTCCTGCCTCAGCCTCCCAAAGTGTTGGGATTACAGGTGTGAGCCACCGCCTAATTTTTGTGTTTTTTTGTAGAAATAAGGTTTCACCATGTTGCTCAGACTGGTCTCAAACTCCTGAGCTCAGGTGATCCCCCTGCCTGGGCTTCGCAGGGATTATAGGCTAAGCCACCGCACCTGGCCACATTTAAGTCTTTAATTCATTTCGGGTTGATTTTTGTCTATGTTGAGAAGCCAAGGTCTGATATTATTTTTCTGTATGTGTGTATCTAGTTTTCTCAACACCGTTTATTGAAGAACCTATCCTTTTCTCATTGTGTGTTCTTGGCACCTTTGTTAAAAATCAGTTGGCTGCAAATGCATGCATTTATTTCCAGGCTCTATTCTGTTCCATTGGTTTATGTGTCTGTGTTTATGACAATAGTGTGCTGTTTGGGTTACTATATCTCTGTAGTTTTTTTTGTTTTGTTTTGTTTTTGAGACGGAGTCTCACTCTGTCACCCAGGCTGGAGTGCAATGGCGCAATCTTGGATCACTGCAACCTCCGCCTCCCGGGTTCAAGCGATTCTCCTGCCTCAGCCTCCTGAGTAGCTGGGGATTACAGGCGTGCGCCACCACACCCAGCTAATTTTTTTGTTTTTAGCAGAGACGGTGTTTCACCATGTTGGCCAGGCTGGTCTCGAACTCCTGCCCTCAGGTGATCCGCCCACCTCAGCCTCCCAAAGTGCTGGGATTACAGGCGGGAGCCACCATGCCCAGCCTCTGTAGTATATTCTGAAGTCAGGTAGTGTGATGCCTCCAGCCTTGTTCTTTTGCTCAGGATAGCTTTTGCTATTCCAAGTCTTTTGTGGTTCCACACAAATTTTAGGATTTCTTTTTCTATTTGCATGAAGAATATGGTAGGTATTTTGATAGAGACTGCATTGAATCTGTAGATTGCATTGAATCTGTAGATTGCTTTGAATCTGTAGATTGCATTGAACCTGTAGATTGCATTGAATTTGTAGATTGCTTTGGGTACTATCTATTGTTTATTTATTTTTTGAGATGAGTTACCTAGGCTGTTACCCAGGCTGGAGTTCAGTGGTGCAGTCATGGCTCACTGCAGCTTTGATATCCTGGGCTCAAGCGATCCTCCCACTTCAGCCTCCTGAGTGTCTGGGACTACAGGTGTGAGCCACCACGTGCAGCTACTTTTTATTTTATTTCTTTTCTTTTTCTTTTTTCTTTTTTTTTTTGAGACAGAGTTTTGGTCTTGTTGCTCAGGCTAGAGTGCAATGGCGCAATCTTGGCTCACCGCAACCTCTGCCTCCCGTGTTCAAGCAGTTCTCCTGCCTCAGCCTCAAGCTACTCAAGCTGGGATTACAGGCGCCCACTACCACGCCTGGCTAATTTTGTATTTTTAGCAGAGATAGGGTTTCTGCATGGTGGTCAGGCTGGTCTGGAACTCCTGACCTCAAGCGATCTGCCTGCCTTGGCCTCCCAAAGTGCTGGGATTACAGGCATGAGCCATCACGCCCAGCCTTATTTTATTTTTTAGTAGAGACAAGGTCTAGCTGTGTTGCCCAGGCTAGTCTTGAACTCTTGAGCTCAAGTGATCCTCCCACCTCATCCTCACAAAGTGTTGGGATTACAGATGTGAGCAACAGCACCTGGTCTATTAATTCTGTTGTTGCCAGTGTTTTTGGTGTCATATCCAAGAAATCATTGCCAAATCTGATGTCATGAAGCATTTCTCCTGTTTTCTTCTAAGAGTTTTATAGTTTTAGATCCGATGTTTAGGCGTTGATCTGTTTTGAATTAACTTTTCTTTTTTGTGTGTGTGTTTGGTTTTTTTTCGAGACAGATCCTTGCTCTGTCGCCCAGGCTGGAGTGCGGTGGCGCAATCTCGGCTCACTGCAAGCTCCGCCTCCCGGGTTCAAGCGATTCTCCTGCCTCAGCCTCTCTAGGAGCTGGGATTACAGGCCCCCGCCACCACACCCAGCTAATTTTTTGTATTTTTAGTAGAGACGGGATTTCACCGTGTTAGCCAGGATGGTCTCGATCTCTTGACCTTGTGATCTGCCCGACTCGGCCTCCCAAAGTGCTGGGATTACAGGAGTGAGCCACCACGCCAGGCCAAATTAACTTTTCTGTATATTATATAAGGTAATGGTCCAACATAATTCATGTATGTGTGGATATTCAGTTTTCCTAACACAATTTGTTGAAAAGACTATTCTTTTTCCATTGAATGATCTTGACATCATTGTTGAAAATTGTTTGGCCACATATGTGAAGGTTTATGTCTGGGTTCTTTGTTCTGTTTAATTGGCCAGTATGCCTTTCTTTATGCCAGTGCCACACTGTTTCAATTACTGTAGCTTTATGGTAAGTTTTGAAATAAAAAGGAGTGAAGTCTCCAACTTTGTTCATCTTTTTCAAGATTGCTTTGGCTATTCTGGGTCCTTGGAGATTCCTATGAATTTTAAAATGGGTTATTTTTGCAAAAACAAAGTGCTGTTGGAATTTTCAAAGGGATTGCATTGAGTCTTTAGAAGGCTTTGGATTGTATTGTCATCTTAACAATATTATGTCTTCCAATCCATTAACAAAGATGTCTTTCCATTTGTTTGTATTTAATTTCTTTCAGCAGTGTTTTATATTTTTTAGTGTGTAAGTCTTTCACCTCCTTGATTATATTTTTTTAAATTGAAACTTGTATTTAGCCATTTTGAGACTAATATCTTGAATAAGTAAAATTCATTTACACTACATTCTTCATCTTTTGGATGCTGTTGTACATGGAATTAATTTCCTTTTGGGATTGTTCATTGCTAAAATATAGAAATGCAACTGATTTTTACATGTTGCTTTTGTATCCTGCAACTTCCCTGAATTCGTTTATTAGCTCTAACTAATAATTATTATGGAATCTTTGGGATTTACTACATATAAAATCATGTCATCCAGAGTTTCATGTGTTATGAGGCACAGAGGGACTACCTTTTTATCATAATGTTTGTAGTAATTTTTGTCCGCAGGTCTGTTTTGTCTAATACTTGTCTAATGTTAGTATTGCCACTTCCCTCTCTTTTGGTTACTCTTTGCATGGTATGTCCTTTTGCGTTCTTTTAGTTTCACCGTACTTGTATTTTTATATTTAAAATTTGTTTCTAGTGGATAGCATATAGTTGGTTCATGTTTTCTGTTTACTCTGTAAATCTCTGCCTTTTGATTTGAGTATCTTGTTCATTTACATTTAATGCAAATATGTATGTAGTGGGATTTACATCTGTCATTTTGTTATTTGTTCTCTTTATGTCTTATATCCAGAGAGCTGATGGCCACAGCAGCTCCGGCCTGATTTCTAATAGGAGGGTTATCTAATAGAAGGATTTCAGAGCATTCCAGGGACAAGATTTGCATTTGTATGAATTTTTTTGTGTTAAAAGCCTCTTAGAACATGGTCTCAAGAAATTAGGGATGTGTTTTTCACCATCGTGTTGGTTTAAGCCTGATGTGCATCTGTGCTATTCAGCACAAGCTCACTGGGCATTTGTTTTCCTGGTCGCTCCCCCTCCAACTTTATTACGACTGCATTTCCTTCACGCACAGCCCATGCCGTGGGCTGTGGCTTGGCCCTCCATGGGGGCAGAGGTGATGTCTGTTGAACTGTGGCTCCCAGGTTTTTTAGATGGGAATAAGACAGATGTACAGTGATAGCCGCTGTGACCTTGTCATGCCCTGTTCTTTGCTTTCCCCTTCACATTCACATTTGCATCACAGGGGAGGGGGAAAAAAGCCCAAAACACTCTGAAAGCAGTGGGTTTCATCTTGAAACCTGATTCCATAGCCAAAATTTGATGCTCAGAGCCTGTGTGGTCACTCCTTGCAGTCATGTTTTCCTGGCCAGGACAGTGGGGATGAGTGTTGATTTGTCCTTGAAGATACTCACAGAAGGAGATGTGCTTGCTCTGAAGAACCACATAGCCCCACAGCTGAAGTGGTGAAGTTCTGCATTACATTTGAATCCCTGTCCAAAGCTCAACTTCTCAAGCTGTTCCTAGAAGGACCAGTCTCCACGAAACCAGTGAGCCTTAACACCACCTGGACTCATGGCTCAGTGGGGCCAGCTGCCCCCAGAGATCATTGAATAACTGTATGTGTTAAATTGAGTAGACTTGTGCATATGAACAAAAACTTCACTGACTCTTGAGAGGTAGCCTTGTTCCTGTCAAGGAGACCACAGGGATAAGGTTTTCATATGCACAAGTTGTGTTTTCTTGTTTGTCGTGATGACAGGGTGTGGAGGTGGTAGAGGTGATGTATTAGTCAGGGTTCTCCAGAGAAACAGAAGCAGCAGGATACGTGTGGATGTGCGTCTAGAGAGATTTATTTTAAGGATCTGACTCACAATTGTAGAGGCTGGCAAGTCCAGCGTTTGCAAGGCAGGCCCATAGGCTAAAGACCCGGGGAAAAGCTGATGTTGAAGGCAGCCTGAAGGCAAGATTCCCTCTTTCTTAGGAGAGGTCAGTCTTTTTTCTTTCAAGGCCTGCACTGGTTGGATGAGGCCCACCCAAATTATGGAGGGTAATTTGTTTCATTCAGAGTCTACTGGTATAGATGTTAATCTCATCTAAAAAGTACTTTCATAGCAATGTTTAGATTGGAGTTGGACCAAAAACTGGGTACCATGGCCTGGCCAAGTTGACACATAAAAGCAACCATCACAGGGATTGATTTTTATTTTGTATTTAAATAATTTGCGTTTTATTTTTATTTATTTATTTATTTTTTGAGATGGAGTCTCGCTGTGTCGCCCAAGCTGGAGTGCAGTGGCGCTATCTTGGCTCACTGCAACCTCCACCTCCCTGGTTCAAGCGATTCTCCTGCCTCAGCCTCTTGAGTAGCTGGGATTACAGGCGTGTGCCACCACGCCTGGCTAATTTTTGTGTTTTTAGTAGAGACGGGGTTTCACCATATTGGTCAGGCTGTTCTCAAACTCCTGACCTCAAGTGATCTGCCTGTGTCAGCCTCCCAGAGTGCTGACTTCTTTTCTTTTTGAGATGGGGTCTCACTGTGTAGCCCAGGCTGGTCATGAACTCCTGGGCTCAAGTGATCCTCCCACCTCAACCTCCCAAAGTGCTGGGATTACAGGAGCCACCATGCCCGGCCTTCTTGTATTTCAGTCACACATTTCAGGCTGACCTCACTGGTCACATGGAATTGACTGTGACCTGTGATGGGCACCTGAGAAGCCTCTGGAGCTCTTGGTTGCCCTGATTCTATCCCAGGCCCAGGTGGAGGGCAGATGTGCTGTGTTGTAGCTGCGGGCTGTGGTGGGGTGCTATGTTGTAGCTGCGGGCTGTGGTGGGGCCGGGCCCTGGAAGTGTGTGTGAAGACACAGGCCGGCACATGTCTTCCCACACACTGTGAGCAGGAAAGGTTCAGGTGCCCCGAGTTCTTCCTCTTCACATATGTCGGCCGCACTCCTGTAGACTTAGCCAAGACTACATGGTGGAAAGTGCGATTGGAACTCTGTGCTTCAGGAACTTTGTGATTTCATTTAGTGAGATCTGGGAGCGTGCTCTGAAGTCACCTGTCCTGAGCCCCTCAGCCAGCAGGGCTTAGTCGGGCCCCGTCCAGGCCATTGTCACTTTTGAGGAAGACTCTCCAAGATTTATAAACAGGTGGTGGGTGACCTGCCCATTGTAGTCCATAACCTGTTGCTGCCAGCAGCTCCTGGGAAGGGGCGATAGGAGAGCACTGCCTCCTTGTCCCGTGTCCCAACCGATGCTAGAGCCAGTGCTTCAGGTATTCAGGTACCTCAGGTTGCTTGGAAAAGTTTAAATAAATTATGCTTACTTATTAAGTATTCTCTTTTCATCTTTTATCAGCTTTTTTTATTGGCTCCCCTGCAGAAAAAAAAAAAGGCAGAGGTGATTTTGGGAACTGCGGCGTCCCCTCGGCATCTCTGAACATGCGCCACCGTCTGTGTGTTCATCAACGTAAAGCTGTCTGTTCTGGCTGTTGCTGTCTCATACAGTGTGTGCACCAGATGCTAGCGAGTCTTACACAGATGCTGTCGAGATGTAGGAGGCAGCGTTGCTGTGTCTGCTGCTCATCGTGGGGTCTTTCCACATGCTGCCAAGCGGGTTCCCTTTCTCCACAAACTTGGAGCGAGGGTCTCGGTGGGCTGTCATGGGTGCAGACTCTTAGTTGAGAAATCTTCAGGATGGCATTGCCTTTCTGCAGCCTGTTGTTGGCCACAACTCAGGTCCTTCTTCATCCCCGGCAGGAACAAACCCCTCCTAAGCTTTTGTGTATTTATCTGCTAAGGCTGCCAAAACACAGTACCAGCGACTGGGTGGCCTCACCACAGACATAGTATTTGCTCACAGTTCTGGAGGCTGGACATCCAAGATCACAGTGTGGGCAGGTTGGTTCCCTCTGTGGCCTGTCTCCTTGGCTTGCAGATGGCCGTCCTCTCCCTGCGTCCTTGCGTGGTCTTCTCTCTGTGTGCATCTGTGTCCTAATCTTGTCTTTTTTTTTTTTTTTTGAGACGGAGTTTTGCTTTTGTTGCCCAGGCTGGAGTGCAGTGGCGTGATCTGGGCCCACCGCAACCTCTGCCTCCCGGGTTCGAGCGATTCTCCTGCCTCAGCCTTCTGAGTAGCTGGGATTTCAGTGTGTAGCTGGGATTACAGGCCCACGCCACCACGCCTGGCTAATTTTGTATTTTTTTTTTTAGTAGAGACGGGGTTTCTCCATGTTGGTCAGGCTGGTCTCGAACTCCTGACCTCAGGTGATCCACCCGCCTCGGCCTCCCAAAGTGTTGGGATTACAGGTGTGATCCACTGCACCCGACCTAATCTCCTTGTCTTATAAGGACCCAGTCCTATTGGATGAGGGCCCACCCTGATGGATTCATTTTAACTTAATTATCTCTGTAAAGAACGGAAGCATTCTGAGGTCCTGGGGGTTAAGGCTTCAACACACGAATTTTGAGAGCACACAGTTCAGCCCATAACAGTTTGTTTTGTTAAAACGTGGGCTCTTCATTATCGCCTTTGATCCCCTGGGCCAAGCCCTTGTTGATGGGGCGCCCCTGAACTCTCAGAGCCATGGACTCCTGCTGCTCTGGGGACACCAGGGCAGCGGGAAGGGGCTGGGGCCTGGTGTGTCCGCTACTAGGGAAGCCTAATTCGTTATCCCTGTTAGATAAAAATACAGGTGCTCTAGTATTTGCTTCTGTCATTCCAAGGAATCACAGTCATGCATCACTTACCAACAGGGATATGTTCTGAGAAATGCATTGTTAGGCACTTTTGTCATTGTGTGGGCATCATAAAGGGCACTTACACACACCCAGATGGTACTGCCTGCTGCACGCCTAGGCTCCACGCTAGAGCCTGTTGCTCCCAGGCCACACGCCTGTGCAGTGTGTTACTGCAGTGAACACTGTGGTTAAGAGTATTTGTGTATCCAAGTTTACGTAAACATAGAAATGGTACAGTGACACCATCTCAGCTCACCACAACCTCTGCCTTCCAGGTTCAAGCAATTCTCCTGCCTCAGCCTCCCAAGTAGCTGGGATTACAGGCGTACGCCACCACACCTGGCTAATTTTTGTATTTTTAGTAGAGACGAGGTTTCACCACGTTGGCTGGGCTGGTCTCGAACTCCTGACCTCAGGTGATCCGCCTGCCTTGGCCTCTCAAAGTGTTGGGACTATAGGCGTGAGCCACCACACCCAGACAGTAATTTAGGATGTTTTTAAGTAATTTTAAGTTTAGAGTATTTTTACGTAAAATCTAGCACTTTTTGGTTACCTGTATGTTGATATGTTTATTAATATATGTGTACACACACACACACACACACACACACACACACACAATGGAATACTATTCAGCCTTTAAAAAGAAGGAAATCCTGTCATTTGTGACAAGGATAAACCTGGAAGACATTACGCTTAGTAAAATAAGCCAGGCCCAGAAAGACAGATACTGCATGACCTGATTTCTATGTGGAATCTAGAAAATTTGAGCTCATAGAAGCAGAGAGTAGAATGAGGGTCGCTGCAAATAACCCATCTGGGCAGGCAGACGGGGCTGGGGTTGGCATCCATCTCCTGCCGTTTCTCGGCTCTGTGAATTTGGACAAATCACTTTCTCTGGCCCTCAATTTCGCCGTCTCTAAAGAAGGGGTTGAATGAGCTCAGACAGCCCAAGGCTTCACGAAGTGCAAGCGGCTGAGATGTGCTGGTGTTGAAGGTGATTGAGGACAGGGTGGGGTCCCTTTTTCCCAGAGGGAACATGGAGCCCTGTGTCTCAGGTGCCCGTGGCATCTTCGCCGGCTGCACTTGGTTCCCGACTCCCCGGGGAGCTGCCGGGCAGGGGAAACTGCCCTGCTGGCCTGGGGCACCGTGGCCGAGGTCAGCCAAAGGCCAAGACCTGCCTTCTTGCTGGGGCTGGAGGCTGCTTCCTGCCTTCCAGGCTGCGGAGTCTGCTGGCAGGGCTGCCGGGTGTGTGTGTGTGTGTGTGTGTGTGTGTGTGTGTGTGTGTGTGTGTGTGTGTGTGAGTGATGAGGTTGCGGAGTCTGCTGGTGGGGCCGCCAGTTGTGTGTGTGTGTGTGTGTGTGTGTGTGTGTGTGTGTGTGGTGAGGAGGAGTGGACTCACTCTGCATGGGGGTGGGGTAGGGTTCACATATTTTAAGCTCATCATCTGGCTGGGAAAGTAGCTGCTCTTGCTCCAGAAAGGGAAAAAAAAAAAAAAAGTATGTGAAGTGATACATATGCGTAATAGCTCGATTTAACCATTCCACAAGGTACACATATATGTAAACCTCTGATTGTATGCAGTAAATATATACAATTTTTATTTGTCAACAATACCTTAATTTATATAAAAACATGTGAATCCATAGTTTCTGTCTCATAATAAATTAGTTTGGCCCATCCACAAAAAACAAAACCCAGCTCTTTTGCAATGATCTGAAGCATTCTGATTATAACACTGATGTTTATTCCCGGGGCTGACTGGGCCTGGAAGGTCCTTTCTACAAGCCGTCCTCATGAAGGCATGGTGTCCAGGCATCTCTCACAACTGGGGGTTAAAAGCTTTCTGCCCAGGAGTGCGTGACTCTGGGCAAAACCTTCCTCTAGGCAGACGCGGGCATGTTGTGGCCGTGCTCTGGCTGGTGAGATGGGTTCAGCCTGCGATACGTGCCAGCGTCCAGCCTGCCCGGGGCCATAGGAGTGAGGGGCGACCAAAACACACTTCCGCTTGAAGAGTCGGGGCAAGTCTGTTTGAGACATTTCCCATTCCTTTCCCTTATGTTCACAAAAAGTTTTCAGGGGGATATTTCATTCTTTCTTATGTTATGTTATGTTATGTTATGTTATGTTATGTTATGTTATGTTATGTTATGTTATGTTATTTTTGAAACAGAGTTTTGCTCTTGTTGCCCAGGCTGGAGTGCAATGGCACAGTCTTGGCTCACTGCAACCTCCACCTCCTGGATTGAAGCGATTCTCCTGCCTCAGCCTCTTGAGTAGCTGGGACTACAGGCATCTGCCACCACGCCCATCTAATTCTGTATTTTTAGTAGGGACGGGGTTTCTCCATATTGGTCAGGCTGACCTCAGGTGATCGCCCGCCTCTGCCTCCCAAAGTGCTGAGATTACAGGTGTGAGCCACCGCGTCTGGCCTTTCTTACTCATTTTAAATAACTTCAAACTTATACAAAACATTGCAAAAATAAAAATAGGACAAAGAACACAATTCAAACACTTCTCTCTCCACTTGAGGCCCTTTACCTCTAGACACATCAGTGTCTATTTCCTAAGAATGAGGATGTTCTCTTGTGTGCCACAGGACACTTGTCCACTACTGGCCCTGTTTAGAAAATGCTTGCCGAGCCCTGTGCTGGAGCATGTGTTGCCCAGGTATTCATGTGTAAGAATGTTCCTCAGAGGTCATGACAGCCAAGTGTCTGCAAATGGCATTGGTTCTGAGCAGCAGGAGACAGGACATGTAGCCTGGTTTGTTGGTTGGGTGGAATAGCACGCACACGTCAACATGGTGCTTCAGGAGCACCGCCTGGCAGCGTGCATGCGTCTCGTAATAGCAGTGGGCACAGTATGAATAGGTCAGGTGACTATATATAGATGATATCCCTTTTATAACAACTCAACTGAAAGGTGCTTTTTAAGAATATAGATGAGCTATGGCCGGGCGTGGTGGCTCACGTCTGTAATCTCAGCACTTTGGGAGGCCGAGGCTGGTGGATCACCTGAGGTCGGGAGTTCGAGACCAGCTTGACCAACATGGAGAAATCCTGTCTCTACTAAAAAAAAATAACAAAATTTAGCCGGGCATGGTGGCGCACACCTGTAATCCCAGCTACTCGGGAGGCTTAGGCACGAGAATAGCTTGAACCAGGGAGGCGGAGGTGGTGGTGAGCTGAGATTGTACCATTGTATTCCAGCGTGGGCAACAAGAGCAAAACTCCGTCTCAAGAAAAAAAAAAAGAAAAAAAAGAAGAATATAGATGAGATACAGTTTATGCAGAAGAAAGCAGGGGATCGATGCCTGGGGGTGCAGAGCAGGGGCTCACTGTGGATCACAAGCAGGACTCTGCCTTTCGGTGTGGGCAGTGAGTTCGCACGTCTTTGACATCATTAAACATTACTAATTATGGTGAGAGCAGGTCAGAGTCCAAGAATTATTATGTATCTGAGTCCCAGTTTTAAAAATCCTACTACCAATCAGTTTGCTGAAATTTTTATTGATCTCAAGATTACTTTTAAATGAATTATCTGAGATTACCTATAGTAGTGCTGCCTTGACACTGTTTCTCACCTGAGCAGCTGTTTGGCTTCCCATAGTGGCCACAGCAATTTGCAGAAACTGGGGCTATGATTAGAAACTGCTTCCTTCCCTGGGCCTGGGCTGGCAGACTTCTTCCTCCTTGGTAAATTTAGAAGTGAAACAGGAAATTCCAAAGGGAAAAGCTAATATGATAAAAAGTTAAAACTTAGTTTCAAAGAAAATAGTAAGTGAAATGAAAAAGAAAGTAGCTTGACCTGGAAAAAGTTTTGTAGCAATTCTCACAAAGCTTTAATATCTTTAACGTTGTTAGTATAGTAAGTCCATCTGTCAGTTGCTGAGGAAAATACCAAGATTCCAAGGATTTTAAAAAAACAAACAGGCAAACAACCCAAGCTGGCAAGTTACAAATGAAGAAAAACAGGCAGGGGGAAGTGGCTCGTTCCTGTAATTTCAGCATCTTTGGGAGGCTGAGGCTGGAGGATCTCTTGAGCTTAGGAGTTCAAGACCAGCCTGTGCAACAAGGCAAGACTCTGTCTCTACAAAAAATCAAAAAAATTAGCCAGACGTGGTGGTGCACACCTGTAGTCCCAGCTACCTGGGGGGCTGAGGTGGGAGGATCACTTGAGCCTGAGAAGTTGAGGCTGCAGTAAGCTGTTATCACACCACTGCACTTCAGCCTGGTTGACAGTGAGACCCTGTCTCAAAAAAGAAGAAAAACAAACTGGTTAATGCATAGAAATATGTTTCATCTCAGTGATAATACAAGAAATGAAAATTAAGGCCAGGCACAGTGGCTCATGCCTGCAATCTCAGCGCTTTGGAAGGCCAAAGCCGGCGGATCACTTGAGGTCAGGAGTTCGAGACCAGCCTGGCCAACATGGTGAAACCCCGTCTCTACTAAAAATACAAACATTAGCCCGGCATGGTGGCGAGCCCCTGTAATCCCAGCTTCTCGGGAGGCTGAGGCAGGAGAATCACTTGAAGACAGGAGGCGGAGGTTGCAGTGAGTCGAGATCATGCCACTTGCACTCCAGCCTGGGTGACAGTGAGACTCCATCTTAAAAATAAATAAAATATAAATAAATAAATAAATAAATAAATGAAATACAAATTAAAAGAACATTCAGATTAAATTATAAAAACAGAAGTGACCCCTGGATTCTGTTGGGAAGCGCCATGCTACTGTCCGGCTCCACCTTGTTCGTGGGCCCCCGTAGGAGGGCACCTGGCCCAAAGCCACCTGCAGCTTTAGAGACATTGTGTGACCTAAGAAACCTCCTGGGATGTGCTGCTAGGAAAGTCATCTGCAAACACACTCCAGGCTTTTCCGCCCAGATGTGGTATTGTCAGGCTTGTCTCATGCCTAAGCAGGAGGAGGGCGGGCCGCCCTGAAGCAGGCTGCGGTTCATGCATGGGCCAGTGGTGTTTCCTTCACATGTTCTGGATGTGCAGGTGTTGCTGTAATGGTGGAAAAGATTTATATGACCTCAGTGAAAGAGCTGCTTTCTGCTTTTGTTCCTTTGATGGACAGCTAAATGGCCTGGATACCTTTCCCACAGTTTTCGTGAAGACCCGGAGCTTTAAGATCAGGATTCTGGTTTACCTGAGAAGCTCCCCGTTAGGTCCCTGCTCGGTTCACAGTCACTGGGGATGTTCTGTGGCACCGCCTGCTTATGGAGCTCCTGTCTCTGCAGGACGTCTCCGGCAAGGTGCCTGGGACATCCCAGAGCACGAGCCCGCTGAAATGGGGCACCCGAAGGCACAGACCACCCCACTGCGTGGGACCTGTGAGGTGTCTTGGTGCATGTGGAGGAAGCTGGTGAGGTTGATGCTGGTGTTTCCAGCCCAAGTGTCTTGACAGCAGGACCCTTGATAGAGATTGGCGAGTGAGGTGTAGTGTAGGTGGTAGCTAAGGTCATGGGCTTGACCTCAGGCTGGAGGCAGTAGGGGATCCCAGGAGACACTCTGCCCACGGGCTGGGCACAGTGGTGGAGCCCGGGAGACACTCGGCCCACAGGCCAGGCGCAGTAGGGGAGCCTGCAGCTCCTCGTGGGTGCACTTGGTGCAGGAGAAGGGCTGGGCTGCTACTGGGCTATGCCAGACCCTGGCAGGGCCAGGCCACATCCAGGCCAGCCACGTGGGGATTCGGGGATTCAGGTCCTTACAGGGGAGGGAGAGACAGGAAAAGAACAGGCACATCAGGAGGTGTGGATGCTGGGTGAAGATGATCTGGTGGCTGCCGTGTAGCCTTTGGTCATCAACCTGCACCCTCCTGGGCCCTGAGAGGAGAACCTGAGAGGCTGGTGGGGAGGGGGAGCACGGGGCTCGATCGCCCGTGGCGCCTGTTCCTCAGCCGGGCGCCGCAGGACCCAGCAGATACACGGTCTGTTGGGCACAGTGATAAGGTGGGGGACAAGGTGGGTGGCAGCCAGTTCCCTTTCCTTCAAGCCGCAGGAATCAGAGCAGGCTGAGAGCCCCCAGCCAGAATGGCCAGCGGTGGAATTGCTTTGTCAAGCGCCCGAGGTCATGCTTGGTGCCCAGCCGAGCCCATGGCCTCCTGAGCAGGCGGGACTGCCCGGCCATGCGGGCCACGCCACTGAGGCACGTGAGGCAAGCCACGGGGCTGCGGCAGCTCCCTGTCCCTCTGGGCTCAGTGTCGGCATCTGTGAATGGGGACCCCCACTCTTCTCCTGAGCGTGGGAGCGCCCCCTCTGTGGTGTGACTGTCCTCCCGGAGACCGCCATGGTGGGTCTGCCCTAACAGAAAGAGTAGGTGGAGCGGGAAACGCTGTCTTCTTCCCTTTGTGCCTTTTAAACATGCACTGGATTCGGGTGAAAGATGAAGGAATGGCCGTCGTCGAGGAGCACTCCTTAATTGTTTATGCTGTCTGTGTGTTGCCCAGGTGCACACAGGTGGGAAAGAAACAGCCCCTCCCACCAGCCTGATCCCTACCCAACCCAGGCATCTGCCAGGTGGGCTGATGGAGCTTCCCCGAGCTCATCTGTGTGCCTGGTAGCCCAGCCCTGGGCTGAGGTGCATGTTCTCATTGTCCTGAGGGCCCCACCTGGGGCAGTGGGACTGGTGGATGGCACAGCGGGTCCTCCATGGCCCAGGGGTGTGGGAGATGGAGGGAGGCCCTTGGGTGTTCTATGAGCGATTGAGACTTTATTCTGTGGAATACTGGGCCCCATCTCTGCCTTTTATTAATTATTTTAGCATCCGAATAGTTTTTTTCATACAAATTTGACAGATAAAGACAGAACTGCTCTCCCTTGCCCTCCTGGGGCACTCTGGGGTTTCATGGCGCATGGTTTGAAAACCACAGCTGTAGGCAGAGAGAGCCAGTGAAAGCGTGAGCAGGAGAGTGACAGGAAGAGAAGCAGAGGTGAGTGCAGGTTTGGCGGTGCCTGGGGGATCAGAGGGAAGCCTGGGGGAGGGCGATGTTAGGAGGTTGTGAGACCACTTGGTCTTGGGAGACCCCTCCCAGAGGCAGCCTGACCCTGGCCGAAGGGGCTGCAGCCCCAAGGTGGGGGGCGGAGGCCATGTGGCGTGGAGACGTGCTCTCTTTCAGGGTTCCTTGGCACACTGTTTTAGATGTCAGCACCTCATTGTGATTTTCAAACTTGATTTCTGTTTCTCTGTTGATGAGGCTGTTCTTTTGAGCTGGTTTTGAGTGGCCGCTTTTGAGGATGGAATTTGAAGTTTTTGTGCATTAAAGAAAGCAGATTACCTCACACCTGTAATCCCAGCACTTGGAGAGGCCGAGGCAGGCAGATCACCTGAGGTCAGGAGTTCAAAACCAGCCTGACCAACATGGTGAAACCCCGTCTCTATTAGAAATACAAAAATTAGCCAGGTGTGGTGGCGGGTGCCTGTAATCCCAGCTACTTGAGAGGCTGAGGCAGGAAAATTGCTTGAACCTGGGAGGCAGAGGTTGCAGTGAGCCGAGATTGCGCCAGCCCGGGTGACAAGAACGAGACTCCATTTCAAAAAAAAAAAAAAAGCAAATTACTTCAGTAATAAAGCTAGTCTAGAAGATGTTATATTGGTTTTTAACTATGCACTGTTTGCCTTGCTGGTCATGACAGCCTGTTTCTGTGCTGCAGCCGTGCGGTCAGGCCGTTTAACCTGGGGAAAACCAGCTGCAGCCATGCTGGCGCGGTCCCCTGCTTCCAAATACAGAAGAGCACATTCTTTCTACACCTGGGAGAGAAAGGGACAGCAAAGTATGCTTTTCTTCTTCAGATGATTTATTTTATGCCTATTTTACATGAACAGCTTGCACAAAAATATTGGAAGTTTCTACTTTTCTGGGAAGTGCCATCATTTTGCATATAGAAGAGGAAGAAAATCAGCTCATGCCTTGTGCACGTTTGCAGAAACATTTCATAGTTTGTCTTTGTTTGATTATGCTGTTTAGCTGGACAAGTGGAATGCTTACAAGTTGTAACATTTTTTGTTTTTTGAGATGGAGTCTTGCTCTGTCGCCCAGGCTGGAGTGCAGTGACACGATCTCGGCTCACTGCAAGCTCCGCCTCCTGGGTTCACGCCATTCTCCTGCCTCAGCCTCCCTAGTAGCTGGCACTACAGGCGCCCGCCACCATGCCTGGCTAATTTTTTGTATTTTTAGTAGAGGTGGGGTTTCACCGTGTTAGCTAGGATGGTCTTGATCTCCTGACCTCGTGATCCACCTGCCTCGGCCTCCCAAAGTGCTGGGATTACAGGTGTGAGCCACTGCGCCCGGCCAATTTTTTGTATTTTTAGTAGAGATGAGGTTTCACCGTGTTAGCCAGGATTGTCTAGATCTCCTGACCTCGTGATCCGCCTGCCTCGGCCTCCCAGAGTGCTGGGATTACAGGCGTGAGCCACCGTGCCCGGCCACAAGTTGTAAAATTTTTAAATGACTGGTTTAGAAATGCTGGGAAGACCCTCTTTCTAGCAAAGCATCTCTCCACCTGTCTCAGTGCGGGCTGCAGTGGCGGGAGTTAGCGTCGGCGTGCCGCCTGCCACAGCACTGCCGCCTGCGTGGCACCGACGCCTTCGCTTCTGCATTTTCTGGATTGTGGCTTCTCCACATTTTGCAACCTTGGTGTTGAGCTGTCTTGGCAGTTTCTATTTTAACACCTAAAGAGATGACTGTTCGGTCCCTGTGAAAAGCTCCCTCTTGACCTAGGGTGGAAAGAGAAGTAAATACATCTCAAAAGTTTATCCTCTAATGTGGTAAAATACAAGGTCCCTCCGTGGCCAGGGGCTGGCTGGAGCGGGCAGTGCACGTTGTCCCTGTGTGTGCAGCCACCATTCTGCTGTGTGCTCGCTGGCATCTTGGGAGCCTGGGCCCGGCCAGAGTGGCCGCATGCACACTGCTGTCTCGGGGCGGCAGTGGGGCCGTGGGGCCATCTGGATGGTGTGGCCACCCGTTCCCCCTTTACCAGCCCCCACCCTTCCTGGCCACCTGCCCCGAGCCTCCCCTGAGATGCCCCGTCTCCAGAGCCCCTGACTTGTTTGACTCCTTTGTTTTGTCTGGTGTCCAAGGCCGGTTTCCCACGGGGCCTGTGTTCTCCCAGGGATGCTGGCTTATTGAAGACACACACACTCACACACATACACACTCACACATACAAACTTTTTTTTTCCTTTTCCCTTTTAATCTCTTGGCACCACCTCTGCTTCCAGGTTAAAGTTAGTCTTGGCTGCTTTAATTTCCATTTGTTTTTGCAGCCTAGTAGTGTCTTTTTTCATTTTCAAGACTGTTGAGTTATGCCAGGACTCAGGGTTATGACCTACTGACTGAGCTGCCTGCTGAGCACGAGAGACATCTCTTTCTTCCCAGCCACCTGCCCTCATGCTGCTCAGACACAGGGAAAAGGACCAAATCATATTTATTTATTTTTTTTGAGACAGAGTCTCACTCTGTCGCCCAGGCTGGAGTGCAGTGGCGCGATCTCAGCTCACTACAACCTCCGCCTCCTGGGTTCAAGTGATTCTCATGCCTCAGTTTCCCAAGTAGCTGGGATTACAGGCACCTACCACCATGCCCAGCTGATTTTTGTATTTTTAGTAGAGGAAGTATTTCGCCATGTTAGCCAGGCTGGTCTCAAACTCCTGACCTCAAGCCTCGGTCTCCCAAAGTGCTGGGATTAGAGAAGTGAGCCACTGTGCCCAGCCCCAAATCACATTTAAAAAAAATTCTGTTGATTCACTGTTCTTTGTTTTGAAGCATGTGATGATTGTGAGGTTTTACAAAAATCACCCTCCCATCTCCTGGGATGTCTGCTGTGTGGAGAAGTGAGGTCCAGGGTCTCTCTGGGAACTGGGTTCCCCAAGGGCAGCATGGGGAGGCACTGGCTGATGCCCTGAGCCCGTGAGCTTGCAGGGGGAGTGTGGCGAGGGCTGGCCACATCTAGATGGGTTAAAGACCAGGAGCCTGGGCGGATCTGCCCGTTTTCTAGTTGGTGGAAGCACTGGTGCATGCCTCCTTTGCCTTTGCCCCTTGGCCTGCTGTCTCCAACTTTCTCCAGCATCTTCAGGGCTCTGCTGGGGCCAGCAGGGTCCTTGACCCTGCTCCCCTGCCTCCCCAGCCCCTGCTGCCTGCCCACGCCGGGGCAACTCTGTCTGTGGCTCCAGCTCCATGCTGCCTCTGTCCTGCCCCTCAGGCCTAAATCGGTCTCCAGCACCTCACTCGCACTTGGAAAGTGGCCATCTGTACCTCTGTGCCTCTGGCCTTGACCCCCTGGGTGGGCACCCGGCACTGGGTCAGGGCGGTTCTCAACCTTGCTCTGTGGCTGTGGGCCCTGGGGCAGCTGGCGACCCCATCCAGCCTCCCTCCACTCATTTGCCAATGTGTCAGGGTGGCCTCCACCTTAAGGCAGCTGTGAGGACCACTTCTTGAGACTGCATCTGTGTGGATCTGAGGCTGAGGGGCAGCCAGTGACATGTGGAAGAAAGGAGGTGGACCCATGGAGCCCCCAGCATGCCCTGTAGGCACTGCCCTTCAAGTGGGTGGCACTGGGAACCTTTGCCTCCTGCCCACCGTGGGTCCCTTGAAGCCCATCTGGGGTTCCACGATCCAGCAGGTGAGTGAGGTGTGCAGCATGATGTGAGCTCAGACACGGAGCCAGTCTGCCACCGCCCGGTGGATGTTGCTCACTCTGTAAACTGCCCTGCAGCTGCCTAGAGCAGAGGTGCATCCCGACCCATGAGACACTCAGAGATTGACCCGGGACTCTGAGGACATCACTGGAAGAGCAGCCAAGTATGATGATGTCCTCCTTTGAAATCTTTATTTTTAAAAACTCTTAAATTTACAAAATAAACGAACTGATGGCTTATTAAAACAGCAGTTCCCCTACCATATTTAAATTCATTTTTATATCTTGACAAGCTATAGGATTTGGAATCAAACATGAGGGTTGAGAACTGCTGCTGATAGAAAATCAGTCAGGGAAGGAAAAAACATCTCTTTATGTTGTTCAATGACATAAACCGAGGGTGGGCATGTTATTTTTGGGTCGGTTCGCCGCCTGGGGAGGCCGGGGGCACAGGCAGCTGGAACTGTGGCATGGTAGCGCCTTGTGACCGAGCTCATGCAGGTCTGGCTGGCTTGTTTTGTTCCCAGCAGTGTGCTCTTTCTGCATGGAGCACGTATTATTTTCATGATCAGCAAAATACCAGCTCGTGTGGGTTCTTACCTGGCAGACAGCGCAGGGAATCTGCGTCCCACCTGGGTGACTCCGTCCTACCTGTTCTTGGCTCTGTGTTCATTTGCCAGGGCTACCATTAACAAAACACCACAGATCAGGCAGGAATTTCTTTCTCTCAGTTCTGGAGCTGGGAGTCTGAGATCAGGGGGCCAGCAGGGTTGGCCTCTCTTGTGAATGGCCACCTTCTCTCTGTGTCCTCTCGTGGTCTTCCCTCTGTGCCTGGTCACGCATTGCCCTGCTCTGATCAGGCCCCAAGCAGTGGACATCAATGTACCTGTCCACACGAGCTGAAGGAGCAGAGACAGAAATGCGATCCTATTGTTTTTGTTTTTGTTTTTGTTTTTTTGAGACAGTCTTCGCTCTGTCACCCAGGCTGGAGTGCAGTGGCGCGATCTTGGCTCACTGCAAGCTCCGCCTCCCGGGTTCACGCCATTTTCCTGCCTCAGCCTCCCGAGTAGCTGGGACTACAGGCGCCCGCCACCACGCCTGGCTAATTTTTTTGTATTTTTAATAGAGACGGAGTTTCACTGTATTAGCCAGGATGGTCTCGATCTCCTGACTTCGTGATCCACCCGCCTCGGCCTCCCAAAGTGCTGGGATTACAGGCGTGAGCCACTGCACCAGGCCCTGATCCTATTGTTAAACTCTAAAGTGCTGGCTAGTAGCACCGGCAGAACAGTTTGTATGCCGTTCCAAATACGTGACTTTAATTATGCTGTTGGATATTTGCACTGTGGCAGCCACTTATAAAGGCTGGTCAGATACAACTGAGGCTCCATTCCAAGGGCAGTGGACACTGGCTTTGCAGTGACCAGGCCAGACCTGGTGCTGCTGCCTGGGAATGGGGGCTTCTTAGACACAGAAGGAGACTAGAGGCTGTGCTGGATGCTGGTGCTGGGGGAAAATCCCTGTGGGACGTGGCATTCATGGGAGGACAAAAGGAGGGCCGGAAAAAATCCCAGGGTGCAGGCGGCTGGAGTCACGCATTGCCTTTGTTCTCTAGCAGTGGGGTGCAGGGTCCGCTGGTGGCAGTTAGAGACGGAGCAAAGTAAATGCACTTGAAAGAGCTTTGGGAGGTGGAACTGTGAGGAGTCAGAGAACAAGATGGGATGAGACATGAGCTCTGATGTGCCTGTGTGGAGTGGACACCGCCAGGGCCCCCACGCTGGCTCTGTAGGTGGCACCCAGGCCAGACCCTGCACCCACGCTGCCAGGGCTGAGACCTTGGAGACTTGGATTTAGAGCTGATTACTCCAAGTCCGCCTAACAGGGTGAGGCAGAAGCTGTGCAGATTCGCATCTATGGAAGATGCACGGACGGAGAGCCCTTGGAAGCGGGCCGGGCCCAGGCCGTGTGCGTGCGGTGACAGCTGCTTGGCATCACACACCAAGGCGGATGTGGGAGGGCTGCCTATGATCATGAAAAACCTGAAATATGAAAATGTGAAGAATAGGAGAGAACAGCAGTTTGCCACAGCAGGGCCCTGGCCAGCACTCCGCACGGTGCTCTGATGACTTGAGAAATTTTGTGGAAGCTGGGAGAAAGAAAGAGCTTACAAAGCAGTTTGTATGACAGTATCTTGTTTTTGTAAGGGACAGTGGGATGATTGATGATAGGTTTTCTTTTTCCTTTTCCATGTTTTCTGATTAATCAGCATCAAACATTGCTATTTTTGATTGTAGTAAAATATGCATGCATAACATAAACTTTACCCCCATGTTTACCTTTTTTTTTTTTTTTTGAGATGGAGTCTCACCTCACTCTGTCGCTGGGGTTGGAGTGCAGTGGTGCGATCTCAGCTCACTGCAACCTCCGCCTCCTGGGTTCAAGTGATTCTCCTGCCTCAGCCTCCTGAGTAGCTGGGATTACAGGCACCTGTCACTATGCCCAGCTAATTTTTTGTATTTTTAGTAGAGATGGCGTTTCACCATATTGTCCAGGCTGGTCTCGAACTCCTGACCTCGTGATTCGCCCGCCTCGGCCTCCTGAAGTGCCAGGATTATAGGCTGGAGCCACCGCGTCCTCCCCCATCTTCACCATTTTAAGTGTACAGCTCAGTGGCGTTAAGTACATTTCACCTTATTCTGCAACCACCACCACTGTCCAGCTAGAGCGTTTCATCTTTCCAAGCCGAAACTCTGTATCCACTAAACACCAACTCCCCAGCCCAGCACGCAGCCCCTGTCACCACTGTTCTCCTTTCTGTCTCTGAGTTTGACCACTTTAGGTAATTTATATGAGTGGAATCATGCGGCGTTTTTTCTTTTGTGACTGGCGTATTTCACTTAGCCTAAGGTCGTTAAGGTTCAACCATGTTGTAACTTGTCAGAATTTCCTTTCTTTTAAGGCTAACATTCCACTGACCACATAAATACTGTTATTTTTATACAAAGAAAGAAGTCTGCAAGCACTGGCTTGGAACAAGCTGCGCATCTGGCGTTTTTCCATGGGTTCAACAAGCTGCGTTATCTGGTGTTTTTCCGTGGGTTCAACAAGCTGCGCATCTGGCGTTTTTCCGTGGGTTCGACATCAGTGGTCCCTGCTGTGGATCACAGCTGACGCACGAGCAGTTCTCCCCCGAGCCTGTCTGTGGCGCCCCTCCCCACCTTCCTCCACCATGGGGTCATCTTGGCCTCTCCTGGGCAGAGGCCGGGGAGGAAGGCGAGTCCCTGTGGGTGCTGCGCGGGGTCAGGGGCTGTTGCCATGTGGGATCTGTGGCTTCCCAGGGTGCTCGGTCCGACCTGTCTTCTTGTTGACCCGCGTGGGGCCCGGGCATGACTGGACACGCCCCCAGGCCTCTCCTGGCACTATCTGGGTTCAGGCCGCAGAAAGGGCAGACTGCGGGACTCTGGGCTGGAGTCGCAGGACACGGGCAGCCCCTATGGGGCCGAAGCACGTCCTCAGGCAGCCTGGCCCCTCCGAGCGGCATCACCCTGAGGTGCCTGCGTGGACACCAAGGGCAGGCCCCCCATGCTGGCTCTGCAGGCAGCGCTGGGGCTGGACCCTGCACCCACCCGGCCGGGGCTGCCCTGCACTGCTCCTTTCTGAGGTGTGTGGAACAGGAAGCTGTGATGTGGAGGGAAGTGGACGAGAGTTTCTGCTACATGTAGATTTCTAGTGAGGAACATGCAGCAGTGACCGGCTGCGGTCGGGGGCGTTCCCTTACGTGTCGGGGAGGTCCAGGTGGCTGGCGGTGCGGCCGGTGCCTCTGTTCTCCCTCATTTCCAGTCAGTTCCTGAGAAAATGGGTGGCGTCTCCAGCCGCCATTGGGGATTGGCCTGCAATTGTTTCCATGTATCTGTGGAACCGGCCCAACACCCCGCGTGGATGCCTGAGCCTGGAGACTGTACTGAACCCTGCGTAGTCTATGTTTTTCCGTACTTGCATACCAGTGACGAACTTTAATTGGTAAATTAGGCACGGTAAGAGATTACAATAATAATAGAACAGTTGTAACAATATACTGTCATAAAAGTTATGTGAACGTGGTCTCTCTCTCTCTCTCTTGCCCTTTGGTGCCCGCCGTGAGATGGCGGTGAGATGGGCGGCGCAGGCATTGCAATGCAGCCTTAGGCCGCTGCTGACCTTGACCAGCCTGGCCATACCGCTGCAGTCCCATGCTGGCGACCCAGCCGGCTACTGTGTGGCTCACAGGCGGGTCGCACATACAGCTTGGACACGCTGGACAAGGGGATGGTTTGTGTCCTGGGTGGGAGGAGCAGGACGGTCTGAGAGTTTATCATCCTACTCAGAACAGCGCACAGTTTAAAACTTACGGAGTGTTTGTGAATGGAGTTTTCCGTTTAATATTTTTGGAGTGCAGTTGACCTCTGGTCATTGAAATCGTGGAAAGTGAAACTGAGATTCGGGGGTGGCTATGGCATTTCTTCTTCCAGCTCTGTCAGCTTTTGCCTAGTGTAACGTGAAGGAAGCTTTTTGGCCGGGTGCATTCACATTGAGGGTTGTTCTGGCTCCTTGGGGAGCTGACCCCTTCCTTCTCTCTCTCTGATGAGTTCCTTGCTCGGAGGCTGGCTGGGTCTGGTGCTGACAAAGCCACCCCAGCTTCCTTTTGGCCAGCGCTTGCCTGGTTCACCTTTTTCCCCTTTTGCTTTCGACTTACCTACCTGTATCAGTATATTTGAAGTAAGTTTCTTGTAGATGGCATATGGTTGGGTTAGGATTTTATTTATCTGTTCTGACAACCTCTTCTAATTGGTGTTTTTAGATTATTATGATAGTGTAATTATCAATGTGTTTCGATTCAGGTCTACCATTTTATTATCTGACTTCTGTTAGATCACTATCTTTATCATTGCTCTATTTCCTTTTAGGTTTTTAAAAACATAGTATTCTGTTTTAATTTATTCTAAATTATATGTTATCTATTTTGCTTTGGATAGCTTTTTTAAAAAGTATGTTAATTTTTCTTTTTTTAAAAGAGGCAGGATTTCACTGTGTTGCCCAGACAGGCCTTGAACTCCTGGACTCAAGTGATCCTCCCTTCTCAGCCTCCCAAGTAGCTGGGACTGCAGCGCCTGGCTGTACAGCTTTCTTCGGTGGTTGCTCTAAGGATTTCGAAGTCCATGCTTATTAACATTTCATATTCTGCTGAGGATCTGAAAAGTCTGCTTTTTACTACTTCTAGTGGGACATAGAAATCTTACCCCATCCAGGTTTCCCCTCCCCCTTTTAGATTACAGTTGTCTTGTTTATATGATTTATACAATTATATACCTAGAAATATTTTATAATTTACTTGTTATGTATTTGTGTAATTTACATTTATGTACACTGAAAGGCCCATTAGACAGTACTTTGATTTTTGCTTTTAACCGCCAAGCACTTTGGAAGAGCTGTGGGGTCGTTGTGTGTCCTGCGCCCTCGCCGCTTAGCCTGCCTACTGCCTCTGCTTTGTGGTTCGTAGCCCATGCCTCCTTCCACCTCCCTTCCTGTCAGCCTGTACCGCTGGCCAGCATGCTCTTTGTTTTCCTCCTCTGCCCACGTCCTGGCTTCACCTTCCTTCCTGGAAGACACGTTCCCATCTTGAGGGAGGATCCCAAGTTGGCACCTCCCCGCTTTAGGCTTAGGCGCATTGTGCCCGCCTTCCGGCCCGCCTGGTCCCCGCTTTAGGCTTAGGCACATTGTGCCCGCCCTCCGGCCTGCCTGGTCCCCGGGGGGAATCCGCGGCCCTCCCACTGTTGCTCTGTGCTCTGCTGAGCGTCATTTCTCCTGCTGTTTTCAAGATCTGTTTTCCTTTATCTTTAGTGTTCAGCAGTTTGACCGTGATGTGTCTGGGTGTGGATTTCTTGTTTGTCTTGTTTGGGATCCATAGAGCTTCTTGAATCTGTAGACAAAAGACTTTCTCCAAATTTAGGGTGTTTTCTGTCATTTTTTTCAGCTGTTTTTCATCACTGCTTGGTTTCCCCTTTTCCTTTTGCACTCTCATGGCACAGATGTTAGACCTTCTCTCTTGTCCTGAAGATCCCCAAAATTTTTTCAATCTTTTTTTCTCTCTGGTATTCAGATTAGAAAACTTAACATTGCTCTATCTTCAAGTTCACTGAATCTTTCCTGAGGTTTTTTTTTTTTTTTACATTTCAGTAGTGTGTCTTTTAGTTTTGAAATTTCCATTTGGTTCTTCTTTATATCTTGTTTTGTTTGCCTTTTGCTGATTTCCATTTTTTCATTCAGTTTGGGAGTGTTACAATCGTTAGAGCATTTCATAGCACAGTAGTTGCTTTAAAGTCGGGTGGATAATTGCAGCACCTGTGTTATTTTGGCATCTGTTGATTCTCTTTTCCTGTAGGAGCCCATACGTTCCTCGTTCTTTGTGTGCTGAGTAATCTGGGCTGTAAGTGGATGGTTGGATGTTATGATATGAGATCTGGGTCTTGTTAAAATCCTAGGAGGATGTTGATATTTTTATTTTAGAAAGCAAACACCCTGAGGAGACTTGGGCTGTGGTTCTGACTTGCCTTCAGTGGGTGGCAGCTCCATGTCAATTCTGGCTTCACAGCCTCCTGCACTGCCACTTGGACCTGCCCCCTGTGTGCCGCTGGTGGCTGTCTGGCTGTGGTCTCAGGGTTTGGGGTGTGAAGAGGATCAGATCCACACCCCTGCAGCTTGAGGATGGGCTTGAAGCTCATGAGCAATTTTGTCGGCTGGCTCTTCTGAGCTGCTTCCTCTCCACACTGCCACTGGGGCTTCCTGGGTCCCTGGAGAGCTTCCCTTCTCCACCCTCAGCCAGTGCAGTGGGACTGACTACCCGTTCCACTGTGCACCTCCATGCCTGCGCCAGTGCTGGAGGAGGGATTTGGGGCTCCTTCTGTTCAGTGTCTCCTCCAGGCCACCTGCTGCTCTTTCCTTCATAGAATGTGGCTCAGCTGCCCCTGGTCCCATCCCAGGGCAGAGCTCCTCCTGAGTACCCTTGAGACTGGAGCAGATTCAGCAGAAGGCAGATTGCCCCCTCTCCCTGGAGCTGGCTCTGAAGGTGTGTTTAGACGATGTCTGCCTTCATTTCTGCACCTCTGCTCCAGCTGCGGTGTGGCACTTTCTGTCCCCTGCGGCAGCCCCATACTCCTTGCAATCTCAGCCTGTCTGTGCAGCTAGACAGCTGGTGTTGGGCGGCAGGGCGCTCGTCTTTTCCATGTCAGGCCCTAGTGTGTTTGGAGGCACCACCTGGGAGGTGGCTGCATTTAGGGAGGCTCTGCTGGGCAGATGTGGCATTGGAGAGGTGCTGCCCCTCCAGCACTTTGAGGGGGTCGTCAGACCCTCGAGAGAGTCCTCAGCACCAGCAACTCAGGACGGCGGCCCCCATGGTGGGAAGGATGGCAGGAACCATGTGCCCCATACTGTGACCCTCCTGGAGGCCAGGAGAGCCTGTTCTCAGCGAGTGTGGAAGGATAAGCTGCACAGGGCCTCCCAGCCTGCTGGCCCACGTGCCCTGAGAGAGACACGCAACTCCCAAGGACTGATCATGCCCCTGTCAGCCATGTCCGGTGCCCTCGGGAGAGCGGGAAGGGGTTAGAGGCCTGGGTACCCAACCTCGAAGCTTGTTGGGTGTCCCCTCCTTCTCCTCACAGAACAGGGGTCCTTATGTGTTGTTCCAGCCCAGGATGGCGGCCCAGGTGACTCTGGAGGACGCGCTGTCCAACGTGGACCTCCTGGAGGAGCTGCCCCTGCCCGACCAGCAGCCCTGCATCGAGCCCCCGCCATCCTCGCTGCTCTACCAGGTGGGTGCCCAGCAGCTGCAGGGCGTACAGCCTGTGCTCCGACCCCACATGATGTTTTTCTCTTCCTTTCCTTCAGCCAAATTTCAACACTAACTTTGAAGACAGAAATGCATTTGTTACTGGCATCGCAAGATACATTGAACAAGCCACCGTCCACTCTAGCATGGTAATGTTGCGGTGTGTCTTTGTTTCTCTCTGCAGAGAAGGGCGTGTTTGAAGGACAGATGTATACTTTTTGGTATTATCCCAATAGACTATGCAGTGAGGAAAAAGAGAAGAAAATGAATGAAATGCCTTATATTTTTAAGACAGTCTTTGCTTTTCTTAGTGTAAAAACAATACATGCTGGTTCTGAAAATTCAATGTCTCTGGCCCAGAGAAAACCTTTGTCAGCGTTTCAAGGGTGCACCTGCCCTGTTAATGCTCATTCCCTCTCCAGATCTGCACCCACACACACCAGGTATGTGCCCATATGAGATTTAGATTTATAAATGAATTGCATTGTTATTATAGTTCTGCTTTTTTTTTGAGACAGAGTCTTGCTCTGCCACCCAGGCTGGAGTACAGTGGCGCGATCTTGGTTCACTGCAACCTCCGCCTCCCAGGTTCAAGCAGTTCTTGTGCCTCAGCCTCCCGAGTAGCTGGGACTACTGGCGCCCACCACTACGCCCAGCTAATTTGTGCATTTTTAGTAGAGACAGGGTTTCACCATGTTGGTCGGGCTGGTCTCGAATTCCTGACCTCAAGTGATCTGCCCACCTTAGCCTCCCAAAGTGCTGGGATTACAGGCATGAGCCACCACACCTAGCTAGTTCTGCATTTTAATGGTCTCATCAACAGGTTTTCTTTCTTTCTTTTTTTTTTTTGAGATGGTCTCACTCAGGTTGCCCAGGCTAGAGTGCAGTGGTGTGATTAGGGCTCACTGCAGCCTCAACCTCCCGGGTTCAAGCAATCCTCCCACCTCTGCCTCCTGAGTAGCTGGGACTACAGGCACACACCACCATGCCCATCTACTTTTTTGTGTTTTTTGTAGAGGCGAGGTCTCACCATGTTGCCCAGGTTGGTCTTGAATTCCTGGACTCAAGGAATCCGCCTGCCCAGCCTCCCAAAGTACTGGGATTACAGCCTGAGCCACTGCACCTGGACAAGAATATTTTCATGCCATGAAAATGTGCTAGAGAAAGCAATCCTTAATGGCTACGTAAACCATTTTGTAAATGTCCACAATTCAACTATTTTTGCGCATTGACTTCCTCTTTTATGTCGTGTAATAAAAAAATGCTGTAGGCTGGGCGCAGTGGCCCACGCCTGTAATCCCAGCATTTTGGGAGGCCAAAGTGGGCGGATCACCTAGGGTCAGGAGTTCGAGACCAGCCTGGCCAACATGGTGAAACCCTGTCTCTACAAAAAAAAAAAAATACAAAAATTAACCAGGCATGGTGGTGCGCACACCTGTAATCCCAGCTACTCAGGAGGCTGAGGCAAGAGAATTGCTTGAACCCGGGAGGCAGAGGTTGCAGTGAGCTGAGATCGTGCCACTGCACTCCAGCCTGGGGGACAGAGCAAGACTCGTCTCAAAAAAAAAAAAAAATACTGTGATGAACGTCTCACTAAATAAAGGCTAGATTTAAGAGCATCTATTTGATTTTTTCCAAAGGAAACGATGTTAAAGAGTGGAAAGCAAAAGCAGTTTTACAGCAGTGATGACAGTCCTCTTCCCATGGACTCTCTACCTAGATTTTAAGTGCTGTGGGCGTGCTCCTAACTTTTCCTCCTGCACACCCGGGGCTGGCAGCCCTGCCTCTAGTCCTCTCTGGGACCGGGAGGCCCTGTGAGCCAGTGAGGAGGCCATGGGGATCCTGTGTGTGCTCACACCGGGCAGGGCGTCTGCCCTGAGCCCTTCCTCTGTGTTCCTAACTGCAGGTCTCATGGCCAGCAGGTTGTTGAGGGCTGGGTGGAGCCAAGGTGTAACGCCTGTGGCACCCCTCAGAGATGCCTGCGTGTCACTGACACCCCTCTCGCCTGCAGAAGCCATGGGGTGTTTTGGGTGGTCATTGTGGCCCCCAGCGCCGCACCTCAGTGTCACTAGCTTCTGGCAGCCGTCTCTTGGCACACAGGCCACAGTGCTTAGGATAGTTTGTGGCGCTTTGTCTGGATTTTAGCAACTGGCATCTGCTTTTCATGCTAGTTCCCCCGCCTGCCTTTGATTTGCCCTGTGTTCCATTGCAGAACGAGATGCTGGAGGAGGGCCAAGAATATGCTGTCATGCTGTACACCTGGAGGAGCTGCTCCCGGGCCATCCCACAGGTGCCACGCTCGCCTGGCTCTTCCCCTCCAGCCACACCCTGCCAGGCCCCTGCCACACCACACCCCTGCCCCTGCCATGCCTGGCCCACTCTCCTCCCAGTTCTCACCCCACAGCAGGGCGGGATCACTAGCTCTAGAAGCCCAGCGGCTGCTTCTGGCTGGATCAAAGCCTCTTATGTCATCCTTGTTCCTTTATTCCCAGGTGAAATGTAACGAGCAGCCTAACAGAGTGGAAATCTACGAGAAAACCGTGGAGGTTCTGGAGCCTGAGGTCACAAAACTGATGAATTTCATGTACTTCCAGGTAAAATGGCAAATAATCTGGGGGGGGTGTAACACCGAGGGGTGGGTTGCTGACCCCTTCCTACCCATCACTGTCACTGTGAACACCCTGAACAGAGTGCCTGCAAATTAAAGCAACCAGTTTCTGAGACAAAAGGGACCAAGCCTTTGACAGTCTAAAGTTCCTCATGCCCTTTCGGAATCAACGCTCCTTTTGTGGTTCACTTCTCTTCTCTGAGAGTGATTTTATGTTTCCTTCATGGAGCCTGCTTTCTGTCAGTTTCAAGTACAATGCTTTGACTTTTTGCCAGTTTGTACTTTTTTTTTTTTTTTTTTTTTTTGAGACAGAGTCTTGCTTTGTCGCCCTGGCTAGAGTGCAATGGCATGATCTCGGCTCACTGCAACCTCTGCCTCCCAGGTTCAAGCGATTCTCCTGCCTCAGCTTCCTGAGTAGCTGGGATTACAGGTGCCCGCCACCACGCCCAGCTAATTTTTGTATTTTTAGTGGAGACAGGGTTTCACCATGTTGGCCAAGCTGGTTTTGAACTCCTGACCTCAGATGATCTGCCCATCTTGGCCTCCCAAAATGCTGAGATTACAGGTGTGAGCCACCACGCCTGGCCAATTTGTACTTTTGTTTTCGTCTGCTCTTTCAGGTATTTTCTTGCTGTTAGCCTCACCCTGACTGTCCATTCCTGGTGGTCCTCGCCCTGGCCTTGGTTAGGCAAGAAGTAGCCACATGGAAGGGGCTTGCTGCTTTTTAAAGAAGTATTTTGGAAACATCCAGATTTTTTATGATGATGTCCTTCAGCAAAGGGAGGAGATGGAACTAACTGGGAGATGAATTTTTGTTTTACCTTGAAAGTTACCAAGAGGAAAAAAATCTCTCCCAGTTTTCACTTCTGAAAGTTAGAACATCTGAATTTTACAGGCGTTTTATTGGAGCATTTTGCTCAGTAATTTTGCTGGAATAATCAGCAAGATTTTGTTACTTTAGTGATGTAGTTGGTAAAGTGCAAGTCAAGTAATGATGGTGCAGAGCAGGCAGTGGGAGCTGCTTTCAGGAAGGGGTCTGGTTGCCCACATTGTAAACACTTCGGCCTGGAGCCTCACTGGGCAGATCGTTTCTCATCGAGGAGCAGTGACTGCAGGTGCTTGAAGGAGGGACATGGGCTTGGCTCCTCACTGACCTGCAGCTTTCTGCCCTCCTGCTTCCTCTGCACAGAGAAATGCCATTGAGCGTTTCTGCGGGGAAGTGAGGCGCCTGTGCCATGCCGAGAGGAGGAAGGACTTCGTGTCAGAAGCCTACCTGATCACACTGGGCAAATTCATCAACATGTTCGCTGTGCTGGACGAGCTGAAGAACATGAAGTGCAGTGTGAAGAACGACCACTCAGCGTACAAGAGGTGAGCACCCACCTCGCGCACTGCGGGCCCTCCCGAGAGCACCCAGCTCAGTGGCCTGCCTTGTGCACAGCAGGTGTGCGTCTTTGTTTGCTGAAGTCGTCACTTCTGGTAGGCAGCAGCTACGTCTCAGTGTCAGGGCTGTGTGAGCACCTGCTTCGAGGGATAAGGTGAGGGGAGCCAGCAGATAAGTGCATATCGTGGCTTTGCACAGCTAGAGCAGGCTCTTCGTGCCCTGGCTGTCCTCAGATGTCACAGAGGACCTTCGAGCCCCTGGGAAGACAGACATGCACAAGATGTAGGCCTAGCTCACAGAGCACAGGCATCTGGCTCAGGGAGCATCTTGGCAAGGGGGCAGGTGGCCTCTGCAGCCTACCTTGGGCGTTGGGGCTGCAGTCCTCGGTGCCGGTCACTCGCCAGCGGGGGTCCCCAGCACATGAGCACCATCCCAGCAATGTGCAGACGTGGCCCGTGCACAGTCACAGGGTGTCTCGTGGTCACACTGCGCTTCCAGATCCTCTCCCTGGTGGTTTTCTTTCTGGATGTAGAGAGCTTCTGGAGAAGCTAGCCTCTGGAGAGGCTGGCAAGACGAGCGGAAGAGGCAGGCATGGCCCAGTGTGTGCTTCTGGAGCAGTGTGGGGCAGTGGGTGGCCGATGGGCATTTGGTGACACTCGGCGCGCTGCCGACCGGCGTTCGGTGACACTTGGCACGCTGCCGACCGGCGTTTGGTGACACTTGGCACGCTGTCTCCTGATGCTCTTGCTCTGCTTCATCTGTGCTCAGTGCTTTTGAAGACATGTTTTGCTGGAATGAGATGCTAATTTCAATTTCCTCTGCTAAGTAAGGCATCTTAGCTCTAAAATTAAATTCGAAGAGACCTTACTTTGCATCTGAATATGCTCTAGTTATGTTGCATTTTAAATCATACAACTGTTGCTATGTCTTTATTTTAAAAACCCACTTGGGACAAAATGAGGCAGCAGTAGGAGTCAAGCTAGGTCAGGCAGAATTTTAAGCCTCATTCATGTGAAATAATGCAGTGTTCCATTTATCACCTAAAATCATCAGCTCTGCACAGAAGTCTAGATCTTCAGAACTAGAGAAAGGTCTCTGGAGTTGACCTGTGAGCCCCTCTTGGGGCAGAAGTCTGAAGGGTCCCTGTTTGATAACAGCATCTGTGGGAATCTAGCATCGAGACTCACTGGTCGGAGTGGGCTCCTGGTCCCAGCCGCCCAATCCAGTAGCTGTGTGATTTTAAGCAGCCTTCTCAGCCGCCGTTTTGGCTTTGTCAGGGAAATGGGGGAGGTGGTTTTCAATATTTAAAAGTATTTAAAAGTTGTGTGTGTGTGTTGTTGTTTTTTTTTTCCTTTTAGCACTAGCACCTTTATTCTAAAGCCTAGTCTGTAAAACAGTTTACAGATGGGGCTGCTGTGTGCAAAGCTGGGGGAAGGAGGGTTTCCCCTCTAGCGTCTTCACCACCTCCAGGTTCCCCTGAGCACCAAAGAGTGGGCCTGGGGCAGTTCCGTAGCTCTTACTGCTGCCTCTTCCTCTGACCTCTATCTGGGACCCCTGTTGGTTAACCTTCCCAGACCATCACCCCCACCCCTCCCAAGACCCCCACCACACACACACGCATCTAGCTCTTTTGGCACCTGCTCGTGGCTACTAGTATAACCTCTTTTAAGTGTCAATGCCAAGATAACTCATATGGTTATGGTGAGGCTTGAGGAAAATAGAAAACAGTATCCTTGACCCTTTCCTTAGTCTCCCCACCCGCCACCTCAGCAGCTACTCAAATCAATAAAGCAAACATGGCCAGGTGCGATGGCTCACACCTGTAATCCCAGCACCTTGAGAGGCTGAGGCAGAAGGATCACTTGAGCCCAGGAATTTGAGACCAGTCTGGGTAACATAGCAAGACCCCATCTCTAAAAAAACAAGAGCAAAAAAAACTAGCTGGGTGTGGTGGCATGCACCTGTGGTCCCAGCTACTTGGGACGCTGAGGTTGGAGAATCACTTGAGCCCAGGAGGTAGAGGCTGCAGTGAGCTGTGATTGTACCACTGTATTCCAGCCTGGGTGACAGAGTGAGACCCTGTGTCTATTTAAAAAAAAAGGAAACATGGTTTTTTCTTTTTGAGACAGAGTCTCACTGGCCCAGGCTGGAGTGCGGTGGCACGATCTTGGCTCACTGCAACCTCTGCGTCTCCTGGATTCAAGCAATTCTCCTGTCTCAGCCTCCCGAGTAGTTGGGATTACAGGTGTGAGCCACCACACCGGGCTAATTTTTATATTTTTAGTAGAGATGGGGTTTCACCATGTTGGCCAGGCTGGTGTTGAACGCCTGACTCAAGTGATTTGCCTGCCTCCTTCTCCCAAAATGCTGGGATTACTGGCATGAGCCACCATGCCCCGCCCTGGAAACATGTTTAAAAAGGCAAGGAATGTTACTGTATCAGTTAATATTACGTTTAACTGTATGCAATTATTTAAAGCCCAGATAAATAACAGTGGCTTTAAAAAGATTGCAGTTTATTTCTCTGTCTCCTGAAAAGTCCTGAATTGGGTGGTCTGCAGCTGATCGAGGCTCTACGGGACCCAGGGCTCCTGTGGTCCTGCGGCTCCGCTTCAGGTGTTGCCTCCTGGTCCTAAATGGTTGCTTAAGCTCCAGCTGTCATTTCTCCATTCCAGTCAGCAGGCAGAAAGTGGGGAAAGATGGGCTCCATGCTTCCTCATGAGTAAACTTTGAGTGCTTGTCAGTATCTTGCATTATATCTCATGGCCTAGTCCTTGGTCACTTGGCCACAGCTAGCTGCAGGGTGGGCGAGGCACACGGAATGTGTGGGGCTCCCTGGAATGTGTGTTCCACAGAAATGCAGGGCTCGTTCCTAAGGAGGAAGGGGAGGAAGTGAATGTTGGTGTAGGTTATCAGCCTTTGCCTTGGTAACTCTTAAAACTAAACCCCCAAGGTTCTGGGTTGCACAGACCTATCCTTATGTGGGCCGTTTCCACTGAACTTTCTTGCGGGACAGTCCTAGATGATCAGAATCCTCACACCCCCACCTTCACCCTGCCCTGCCAGACCTCGCAGGCTTAGCATGGCCTTGCAGTATTGTATTGTTGGGCCTCACGTACGGGTGTAGCTACAAATTGGTGGCAGGCCAGGGCTCTGTCTCAGGACCTTGGACACCAGTGGTCCCTGAGGTGGCCTGGGGAGGTGTGGTCCAGAGGGTTCCCAGCAGAGAACCTCAGCAGTGCTGGCCGGCTTCATGGCAGGGCTTGTGGGAGTCACGGAGATGGCAGTGGCCCTTCTCAGACTCGGGGTCCAGGAGCCCTGTGCCCCCTAGATGAGGTGGGCGTCCACCAGTATAGGGCAGAGACCAGTGTGCAGGGACCCTGCAGGGAGCCGTCAGCTGTGACCAGCCGGGTGGAGAGCTGTCCCAGCCTGTGCAAGACACGTCTAAGTTGGCAGAAGACTGACCTGGAGTGCAGGGCCAGAGACGCCTGAAAAGGCTGAAATCATAGGTGGCTTCTGAGATTGACCCACATTTCTGCAGATGACTGTAGGGGAAAGGGATCCCACTCGAACCAGGCTTTTTTTTTTTTTTTTTTTTTTTTAAATGTGGCACGTTGGTGCATTTTGGGATGAATTCTTTTTGTTTTCAAAGGGCCGCTCAGTTTTTACGTAAAATGGCAGATCCACAGTCCATCCAGGAATCGCAGAATCTGTCCATGTTCCTGGCCAATCATAACAAGATCACACAGGTAAGGCTGGTGTTTGCACACTCAGGTTGATGGGCCAAGCAGCCGGCCGGGCGCCGGGCCCATGCATGAGTCTCTTGCTCTGTGTTTCAGTCTCTGCAGCAGCAGCTCGAAGTGATTTCTGGCTACGAAGAGCTCCTGGCAGATATTGTGAATCTGTGTGTGGATTACTACGAGAACAGGATGTATTTGACGCCCAGTGAGAAACACATGCTTCTCAAAGTACGTGTGTGGGGACGCTAGCCCGTGGCACTGCCGAGGGACAGCCTTACTCTTGTCAATAGGCTGTGCTTTATCTAGAATCCTTTTGACAGCTGTGTCTTATTTGCATGCTGTCATGTGTGAACAGCGTCCTGCCCTTGCACACAGCCTGCACAACAGGCTCTCAACACACCCCATGAGTGTGTCACACACTGACCCTGGGAGAAGGTGCTGGCCAGGAGGTCCGGGTCAAGGATTCTCAGCTTTTTTTTTTTTTTTTTTTTTTTTTAAGCTGCTTTTCGTTTTATTCTCAAGGCAGGGTGTTGCTCTTGCCCAGGCTGGAGTGCAGTGGCACAATCACAGCCCAATATAGCCTCAACCTCCTGGGCTCAAGTGATCCTCCCACCTCAGCCTCCTAAGTAGCTGGGACTACAGGTGCACGCCACCATGCCTCGCTAATTTTTAAATTTTTTGTAGAGAGAGAATCTTGCCATGTTGTACAGGCTGTTCTCAAACTCCTGGGCTCAAGGGACCCTCCTGCCTCAGCCTCCCAAAGCTCTGTGAATACAAGCTTGAGCCACTGCCCTTTTTATTTTTTTTTTATTTTTGAGACAGGGCTTTGCTCTTTCACCCAGGCTCCAGTGCAATGGTGCGGACACAGCTCACTATAGCCTTGACCTCCTTGGCTCAAGTGATCTTTCTGCCTCAGGCTCCTGAGTAACTGGGACCACAGGCACTTGCACCAATGCCCAGCTAAGTTTTTGAATTTTTGTAGATATGAGATCTCACTTTGTTGCCCTGGCTGACCTTGAACTCCTGGGCTCAAGCAATCTTCTTGCCTTGTCCCCCGCAAAGTGCTAGGATTACAGGCATAAGCCACCATGCCCCGCCAGCTTTGTGACAGAAGTTATCCAAGATTCTACTTGTCAAGCATGTGATTCCTAGGACTTTGATACCTTGTGTCACATAATTAAAGTAGCCTTTTGTTGGTTCACCATATTCTTTATTATTCTGTTCAAATTAGGAAGCTTTCCATCTGTGTTTCTCATGGGAAAGATGGGCGGCAGTTCGGCTGTTCCCTTTGCTCTCTTCTCCACCTCTGCAGGGTGGCCTTGGGGGACCCTTTGCTGGGTGTCCCACCAGCCCAGCCCCCAGACTCCTCCTGAGCAGGGGAGCACTGTCCACGGAGTGCTTTGTGACAGCAGAAACGTTGTGTCTGCACCGGCTGGTGTGGGAGCCCTGGCCATGAGCCCCTGCGGAGCACTGGAGCATGCAGGTGGCTAGTCCACGTTAAGAATTTTTAGTTTGTGACTGGGCACGGTGGCTCATGCCTGTAATCCCAGCACTTTGGGAGTTGAGGTGGGTGGATCACTTGAGGTCAGGAGTTTTACACCAGCCTGACCAACATGGTGAAACCCCATCTCTACTAAAAATACAAAAAAAATTAGCCAGGCGTGGTGGTCATGGGCGCCTGTAATCCCAGCTACTTGGGAGGCTGAGGCAGGAGAATCGCTTGAACCTGGGAGGCAGAGGTTGCAGTGAGCTGAGATGGCACCACTGCACTCCAGCCCGGGTGACAGAGCCAGACTCCATCTCAAAAAAAAAAAACAAAAAAAGAATTTTTAGTTTGCATACACCGAAACTTAACTGGTTACATGTGGCTGCATATTGGACATTACTTTTAATGGCAAAAAAAACGCAATTACTTTTGCACCAGCTTAGTAGCTCTAGAATATCCCTACCGCTTGGGTTAGGCTAGGGGAGAGGATTTGTTTTTTCCGCTTTTAGCGACTGACCTGGAAGCCCAGCCCCGCTTTGTATCCCAGTTTCACTGAGGATAAAATGATGCATTTCAAGCACCAGACAAGCAGCCTAAAGATAGATCTTTGTGATCTATTTCAAATTGTGCCTTCAAAGTCATCAGCTGTAACAGTGTAAGTCCTTATGGGTAGTGAAATTCTCAGTTCTGAGCTTTGTCGCATCATTCATTTTGTGGCTTTTCAGGTCATGGGATTTGGTCTGTACCTGATGGATGGGAGTGTCAGTAACATCTATAAGTTGGATGCCAAGAAAAGAATAAACTTATCCAAAATCGACAAGTACTTCAAGGTGAGTTACATGTTTTTAGATCAATGTTTTTATTGATTTGTGTGCACTTTGAATTTTGGGGAAGTGAGCCCCTGTGTGACTGTGATCTATATCAGGAAACGCTGGGGCTGGGTGGAGTCTGGGGCATGCACGTTCTCCCGTCTGCAGAGGTGACCGCGCTTTCTCTTTCCTTTTGCCCTGTGCTGGTTTTGCCTGGGTGGAGCTTTATACAGATGGAATTGTGCTATTTGTACTCTTCTGCGTCCAGCTGCTGTCACCAGCCTCTTGTTTGTGAGGTGCATCCTGGAGGAAGCCCGTAGCTACAGCTTGTAGCTTTCGGTTGTGGTGTAGTTTTCTATCTGATGACTACACCGTAACTTATCCGTTCCAATGTTGGCGGGCTCTCGGATGTTCCCAAGTTTTGGCGCGTCCAAACAGTGCAGCTCTGGTCGACTGTCCTCTGTTGGGTGCATACCCAGGAGAGGGACCGGGGGTCACAGGCCTGATCTGTTTTCAGTGTCAGTAGTTACCTGCAGCCTGATGACGCTCCAGCACAGCTGTCCTGATCTCCGTTCCCATCAGCAGTGAGAGAATGCGCCGCTGGTGCCACATCAGTACTTAGCACTGCCTTTTTGGGGTGGGGGGATATCCTGAGGATGCGTACAGCATTGAGATTGTATTGGCTAGTGTTTCATTGTATTGGCTAGTGTTTCGTTCATGTTTCCCTAATGGCTTTCCATGTTATTAGCGTGTTCCCTTCGTGATGTGCCACTTCAAGTGTTTTGCTCTTTTTTCCCTATTGATTTACAGTTCTTTATATATTCTGGATACATGTCCTTTGTTGGACACAAGTGAGTTTTTTTGTTTGTTTGTTTTGTTTTGTTTTTGAGACAGGCCCTCGCTCTGTCATCCAGGCTGGAGTGTAGCAGGCCTTGGTGATTTCTCCCACCCCAGCCTCTCAAGTAGCTGGGACTACAGGTGCTTACCATCATGCTTGGCTAGTTTTTAAACTTTTAGTAGCAACGAGATCTCCCTATGTTGCCCAGGCTGGTCTCGAACTCCTGGCCTCAAGCAGTCCTCCAGCCCTGGCCTCTCAAAGTGCCAAGATTACAGGCCTGAGCCACTGCACCTGGCCTTACATTTTAATATACATGTATTCTCCCCTAAGAGGCCTACCCTTTCACTTTTTCCCAGCTTTATCAAGGTGTAATTGACAAGTAAAAATTGTATGTTTATGGTATATGATGTGATGTTTTGATACACATACACATTGTGAAATGATGAATTCAAGCTAATTTAACATGTCCATTACCTAACACACCATTTTTTTTATTTTGTGATGAGAACACTTAAGATCTACTCTTTTAGCATATTTTAAGCATTCAATGCATTGTTATTAACCATAGCTACTGTGCCATAGATGAGGTCTTCAGAACTTAACTATGCTGCGGAATTGAAACTTTATACGCTTTGACCAGTATATTCCCTTCCTCCTCCTGCCTCCAGTAGCCTTTTCGCGTTCTCGATGGTGTCATTTGCTGAACAGAAGTTTGTCATTTTCATGTAGTCTCATATATGAATCTTTTCATTAATGTCCACCTAAATAAATCTTTGCAGCCATCCAGCTCATGAGACGTTTCTGCTGTGTTAGCTTCTAGAAGCATTCTGTCTCCTTTTTCACCTAGATCTAATCCCCCTGGAACTGACTTCTGCGCGTGGTAGGAGGTAGGGGTTTCGTGTCCTTGGATCTTTCCCAGTATGGCTTCCCAGTTGGGCCTGCCCATTTATTGCAAAGCCCATTGTTCTGCAGTGCTGCTAAGGTCATGAATCTGTCTGTGGCTCTGTCCAGGTTCTCTGTCCTGTCCACAAGCCTCCATCCCTGCTCCAGGGCCACACTGCCTTAATTGTTGGAGCTTTCTAACAAGACTCCTAATCTGGAAGGGTGTGTCTTCCAGTTTTGTCCTTCAGGATAGTCTCAGATATCATCCCTTCACCTTTGGAGATGCACGTTAGAATTGATTTCCTGATTTATACACACTATCCCCCCAAAACCATTTTTTTTCTTCTGGAATATTGACTGGGATTGATTATAGATCTATTTTGAGAGAATGGACATTTAAAAAATTTGAAGCCTTCCTAGGCACAAACATGATCATTTCTCCATTTACTGAGAACTTTTTCTAGAATTTTCGGGGTAGTACTTTTGTTTAGAGGTCTTGCACATTTTTTGTTAGATTTACTGATGCATTTTTTTTTGGATGCTGTTGCAAAGTATTTCTCTTTAAGTTTTTGTATTCTGATTGTTGCTAGTATATAGAAATGCAGTTGGCTGGGCACGGTGGCTTATGCCTGTAATCCCAGCACTTTGGGAGGCCGAGGCGGGTGGATCACGAGGTCAGGAGATCGAGACCATCCTGGCTAACACGGTGAAAACCCGTCTCTACTAAAAATACAAAAAAATTAGCTGGGCATGGTGGCAGTTGCCTGTAGTCCCAGCTCCTCGGGAGGCTGAGGCAGGAGAATCTCTTGAACCCTGGAGGTAGAGGTTGCAGTGACCCAAGATCACGCCACTGCACTGCAGCGCAGCCTAGTAACAGAGTGAGACTGTCTCAAAAAAAAAAAAAAAAAAAAAAAAAAAAGGGCTGGGTGCGGTGGTTCACGCCTGTAATCCCAGCACTTTGGGAGGCTGAGGTGGGTAGATCACGAGGTCAGGAGATTGAGACCATCCTGGCTAACACAGTGAATCCCATCTCTACTAAAAATACAAAAAATTAGCTGGGTGTGGTGGCGGGCGCCTGTAGTCCCAGCTACTCGGGAGCCTGAGGCAGGAGAATGATGTGAACCTGGGAGGTGGAGCTTGCAGTGAGCCGAGATCACGCCACTGCACTCCAGCCTGGGCGACAGAGCGAGACTCTGTCTCAAAAAAAAAAAAAAAAAAAAAAAAAAAGAAAGAAATGCAGTGATTTTTTTTTTTTTATGACTGTGGATCTAGCAACATGGTAGGTTAATTTTAACATTTGAATAGTTTTTATAGATGTTGGTTTTTAAATTGTATTTTGTTCCTCTCAAAGCGAATGTAGAAGTTACTTATAGTTTTTTTTTTGTAATGAATCATTTGCAGAGGTAGCATTCAAGCCGAAGTAATTATTAGCATTAGTCAGTTTCCTTGTGCTTATGTATTTGGTGACTAAATATACATAATGACTCTATTTTTTTGTTCTTTGAATACAGCAACTCCAGGTGGTTCCGCTATTTGGGGACATGCAAATAGAACTGGCAAGATATATCAAGACCAGCGCCCACTACGAGGAAAATAAATCTCGGTAGGAGGAGAGGAAAGCTGCCTGGTTTGAGCTTTCGGCAGTGTCCTCATTGTGCGGTTTTCAAACATCCTGCTTATTTGTCTAGAGATAACACTGTTAACATTCTCAGCCTGGAATTAAATGTCCAGTATTGCAGCCTTTGCCACATGCGGCTATTTACATTTAAGTTTATTGAAAAATACAATTGAGGCCGGGCGCGGTGGCTCACGCCTGTAATCCCAGCACTTTGGGAGGCCGAGGCGGGCGGATCACGAGGTCAGGAGATCGAGACCATCCTAGCTAACACGGTGAAACCCCGTCTCTACTAAAAATAGAAAAAATTAGCCGGGCGTGGTGGTGGGCGCCTGTAGTCCCAGCTACTTGGGAGGCTGAGGTAGGAGAATGGCATGAACCTGGGAGGCGGAGCTTGCAGTGAGCAGAGATCGCGCCACTGCACTCCAACCTGGGCGACAGAGCAAGACTCCGTCTCAAAAAAAAAAAAAGAAAGAAAAATACAATTGAAATTTTAATTTCCTTACGACAGCCACGTTTGAAATGTTCAATAGTTAGTGGCTACTGTGTTGGACAGCACAGATACAGAACACTTTCATCATCCTAGGGATTCCTATTGGACAGTGCTGGGTGATAGTCTTTATGTTTAAAAAGGTTGTCTTAAAAAAAAAGAAGAGGGTGGGGCGCGGTGGCTCATGCCTGTAATCCCAGCACTTTGGGAGGCCGAGGTGGATGGATCTCTTGAACTCAGGAGTTTGAGACCAGCCTGGGCAACACAGTGAGACCTTGACTGTATGAAAAAATACAAAAATTAGCCGGGCATGGTGGCACACGCCTGTAGTCCCAGCTACTCAGGAGGCTGAGGTGGGAGGATCACTTGAGTAGTCTAGGAGGTGGAGGTTGCAGTGAACCAAGATTGCACCACTGCAGTCCAGCCTGGGCAAGAGAGCAAGACCCTACCTCAAAGAAAAAAAGAAGAGACTGACAGTGTGTCAGATGTGACATCTGCAGACAATGTGGCCCTAAATCCTAAACTGTGTACCATCTTACTCTGTGAAGAACTATAAAGATCCTCAGCACAGTTCCAGATGCTGGCAGGCACTCCTCCCCACTGCAGACTCTACAGAGCCATCTGAGCCTCAGGGGAGGCTTTCATTGACTTTTGCCAAGCACTGTGCCCGTAGCCAACCTGCAGTCACCATTCAGCCATGATTTTGACAAACGAAGTTGCATCTCAGTCTCAGGGGTCAAGAAACCTTTTCAGTAAAGGACACATAACAAGTATTTTAGGCTTTACAGGCCACAGGTGGTCTCCTTCGGATATGCTTCTGTGTTGTTTTTTTAAACAACCCTTTAAAAACATAAAAGCCATTTGTGTGGCTCTGGTGCCAAACAGGCGTCCTGAGCTGCCCCAGTGCTGTGGCCTGCCGGCGCCTCCGCAGGTAACGCGGGTGCTTTCTCTCTGCACAGATGGACGTGCACATCCTCCGGCAGCAGCCCTCAGTACAACATCTGCGAGCAGATGATCCAGATCCGCGAGGACCACATGCGCTTCATTTCGGAGCTGGCGCGCTACAGCAACAGCGAGGTGCGCCCCGCGACCTGGAGCTGCACAGGCACCCGAGGGTCGCCTGTGTGTGTTTGCACCCAAATCTTAGGTTTAATTGCTTTGAAAAACAGTTTACTACCAGATACGATCATATGTCACATAATGACAGGGACAGGTTCTGACAAATGTGTCATTAGGCAGTTTCATCATTGTGGGAACGTCATCGTGTCCTCATGCTAGCCTGGATGGTACAGCCTGTGGCACAGCTAGGCTGCAGGGTACAGCGGATGGCTCCTAGGCCACACACCTATGGAGCACGTTGCTGTGCTGAAGACTCTGGATAGTTGTAACACAATGGTATGTATTTGTGTATCTAAACATATCTAAACATAGAAAAGGTACAGTGAAAAGATGGTATTATAATCTTATGGGACCACCGTTGTATATGCTGTCATTGACCAAATGTGGTGCATGACTGTACTTCAAAAGCACCCATTATAATTGACAAGGCAGTGAAACTAGTGTTCTCTCTGTTCAGCTGTACAAAAAGCTTTTTTTTTTTTTTTTTTTTTTTTCAGAAAAACATTATAGGGATCCCAAGAGAAAGGACAGAGATGAGATAATTAATTGATTAAGTGGCATTTCCTAGTCTAGTACTGTGATTCCAAGCAACTCGAAAGATGGTTGGAGAGAAGGGAGGACACTGGGAAAGGAAAGGGTGATTCTGACCTGGGGCCCCTGTAAGCCTAGAAGGGAAGAAGTCCTGAGGCCAGAGGTGAGCAGGAGCCTCTGGGTGGCTGTCAGAAGACGTCCCAGGGGCATTGGGTCCATGTGTCCAGGAGGTGGGCCTGGAGTTGGGTGCAGAGAACAGGTGCTTTCTCTTTAGTTCCTTCCAGCTTTGCAGCTGGGTTTGCCATGTTGTCATTTTGGCCACTCCCATTCTCCTCACTCACCCAGGTTGACTCCGAGCCAGCACTGCTGGCATGTCTGTGCTGCAAATTGCTGGCAGGGACTGCGGGTTTTAGGGCATATACGCAGGCTGCTTTGCTGAACTGGTTAGTCCCTCAAGGGTCTCAGGAGGACCATTAACCTTAGCGGGGACAACTCTGTGGATGTTGGCCCCACCCACTGCAGGACGATGAGCACCCTGTCCCCCACCCCCCATGGTTACCAGTCATCATCATGTAACCAAACTGACTGACAACCCAGTAGTCCAGGTATGTTGGGGCACCTGCTGCTTCTAACACAGACCCCTGGCAAGCGTTTGGGCATGTCAGACAAGGAGGCTGTCCTGGGTGAGTCAGTGAGTGAGTGGCGAGCGAGTGGGAGGCCTAGGACAGTACTGTGCACTGCTGTGGCCTTTATGAACACTGTGTGCTTAGGCTGTGCTAAATTTTTTAAAAGGCTTTTTCTTTCTTTAATAACGAATTAGCCTTAGCTTACTGTAACTTTTTTACTTTATAAACTTTTTACTTTTAAAAAGAGCTTTTTGGCTTTTGTAACAACACTTTGCTTAAAACACAAACACACTCTATACCTGTGCAAAAATATTTTTTCTTTATCTCCTTATTCTGTAAATTATTTTTCTACCAAAAAGTTTTTGTTTTTTTCCTTTTGAGCTTTTTCGTTAAAAATGAAGACCCAAACACACACATTAGCCTAGGCCTACACGGGGTCAGGATCATCAGGACATCACTAGGCAGTAGGAATTTTTCCACTACGTTAAGATTTTATGGGAGCACCATCATGTGTGTGGTCTTGTTGACTGGAGCATCCTTAGGTGGCATCTGACTGTAATTGTTTCTCTGGCATTGTCTAAGGTAACAAATCAGTTTTTTTCGGAGTACAGTTTTTTTTTTTTTTTTTTTTTTTGGGTGAGACGGAGTCTTGCTGTGTCGCCCAGGCTGGAGTGCAGTGGTGCAATCTCGGCTCACTGCAAGCCAAGGTTCACACCATTCTCCTTCCTCAGCCTCCCGAGTAGCTGGGACTACAGGCACCCACCACTACGCCCGGCTAATTTTTGTGTGTGTGTTTTTTTGTGTTTTTTTTTGTGTGTGTTTTTTGTGTGTTTTTTTAGTAGAGACACTGTTCTAGCCAGGATGGTCTCAATCTCCTGACCTGGTGATCCACCCGTCTCGGCCTCCCAAAGTGCTGGGATTACAGGCATGAGCCACCGCACCCGGCCTCTGAGTACAATTTTAAAGTGATTCGACTTTAGGTTTGTTGATTTTCTTTTTTCTGAAAGCTGAACATCCTGGTGAATGACGCCAGCATAATTTGATTTATGTCATTATGTCATAATCTAGTCTTTTTTTTGTTTGTTTTTGAGGTGGAGTCTTGCTCTGTTGCCCAGGCTGGAGTGCAGTGGCGCGATCTCGGCTCACTGCAAGCTCCGCCTCCCAGGTTCACGCCATTCTCCTGCCTCAGCCTTCTGAGTAGCTGGGACTACAGGCGCCCGCCACCACGCCCGGCTAATTTTTTTGTATTTTTAGTAGAGATGGGGTTTCACTGTGTTAGCCAGGATGGTCTTGATCTCCTGACCTCGTGATCCGCCCGTCTCGGCCTCCCAAAGTGCTGGGATTACAGGCGTGAGCCACCGTGCCTGGCCTTTTTTTTTTTTTTTTTTTTTTGAGACAGAGTCTCTCTCTGTTGCCCAGGCTGGAGTGCAATGGTGTGATCTTGGCTCATTGCAACTTCCACCTCCCGGATTCAAGCAATTCTCCTGCCTCAGCCTCCCAAGTAGCTGGGACTACAGGCGCACGCCACCATGCTTAGCTAATTTTTGTATTTTTAGTAGAGACGGGGTTTCACCATGTTGGCCAGGATGATCTCCATCTCTTGACCTTGTGATTCGCCCACCTCAGCCTCCCAGAGTTTTGGGATTACAGGCATGAGCCATTGCACCCGGTCATAATCTAGTCTTAAAAGAGCAATGCCAGCACTACTAATTACAGTGACTAGAAATTGTTTTATGATTTGTTTTGCAGGTGATTTTGCCCTTGAGCTTCTTACTCAGGGTACTTTTTTTTTTTTTTTTGAGATGGAGTTTCGCTCTTGTTGCCCAGGCTGGATGGCGTGTGATGGCGGGATCTTGGCTCACTGCAATCTTCGCCTCCTGGGTTCTAGCAATTCTCCTGCCTCAGCTTCCCGAGTAGCTGAGATTACAGGCATGCAGCACCACGCCCAGCTACTTTTTTATATTTTTGGTAGAGATGGGGTTTCACTATGTTGGCCAGGCTGATCTCGAACTCCTGACCTCAGGCAATCCACCTGCCCCGGCCTCCCAAAGTGCTGGGATTACAGCATGAGCCATCGCACCGGGCCCCTCACTCAGAGGATTTTAAGTCACACCGTGGTGTTTAGAGCTGCTCAGGGTCCTCTCAGTGGTCATGCTGTGAGCTCCATGCAGGTTCCCGCCATTGTTTCATTTTGCTTTTGACTTCTAGGCATTGCATTTCCGATCTCATTTAATTCTGTGTCCTAAATATATAAAATATTTGTGTGGTTCTAATATCACATCTATAAAAAGGTATATTCAAAGAAGCCTGCCTTCTCCACGGTGCCCCTTCCTCCCCATAGGTCACATGTTTAAATTTAGGGGGTGGTTATTTGATAGAAGCAAACCCACGTGACTTGTGTGTTGCCCTTCCCCGGCCTAGTGGAAGTGCGCCAAGCCCACGCGTGTAACAGCCCCGCGCCCAGCCCGCGGTCCCCCAGGCGGTGGCTGTGGCAGCGGCCTGTCCCTTGCTCTGTGCTCTGCAGCACGCCCTTGGCCGCCATTTTCCCGGGAGGAGGGTCCAGCACCCACAGCATTTCTTATTTTCTTTTTATTTATTTATTTATTTATTTATTTATTTATTTATTTATTTATTATTTTTTGAGACGGAGTCTCGCTCTGTCGCCCAGGCTGGAGTGCAGTGGCGCAGTGTCGGCTCACTGCAAGCTCCGCCTCCCGGGCTCACGCCATTCTCCTGCCTCAGCCTCTGAAGTAGCTGGGACTACAGGTGCCCGCCACCATGCCCAGCTAATTTTTTTGTATTTTTCAGTAGAGACGGGGTTTCACCGTTTTAGGATGGTCTGGATCTCCCGACCTTGTGATCCGCCCGCCTTGGCCTCCTGCATTTCTTATTTTCACACGTGTGACTTTGGGGTGGATTCTCATGGTGGATCCCGGGATGGGGGGAGCTGGGTGGGGGCGCTGGTTTCTCACGGGGCCGTGCCCGCCTTGTGCAGGTGGTCACGGGCTCGGGCCGCCAGGAGGCCCAGAAGACGGACGCGGAGTACCGCAAGCTCTTCGACCTGGCGCTGCAGGGCCTGCAGCTGTTGTCGCAGTGGAGCGCGCACGTGATGGAAGTGGTAGGCCCCGTCCCCGACCCCAGCCCCGCTCCAAAGCTGCCTCGGGCACTTTATTCACATTAACTTTTGGTCTTTGGGCTTTTTATCTTTGGCCCTAGAAAGACGAGAATATCTATCAGTAGATATGTTTCCAAGGTGATTTTAAGTACATCTCATTTATGTGTGTAATAAATGAAGGGCCTCCTTTTTAAAAAAAATCTTGATAGAATTAAATTTGTACCATTGTGATTTTCTTTAAGTCGTTCTTTTTTTGAGATAGTCTCACCCTGTCGCTTAGGCTGGAGTGCGGTGGTGCAAACATAAGTCCCTACAGCCTTGACTCCCCACCCCAAGCGATCCTTCTGCCTCAGCCTCCCAAGTTGCTGGGACCACAGGTGTGCACCACGGCTCCCGGCTAATTTTTTTTTTTTTTTTTTTTTTTTGAGACGGAGTTTCGCTCTTGTTGCCCAGGCTGGAGTGCAATGGCGTGATCTCGGCTCACTGCAACCTCTGCCTCCTGGGTTCAAGCGATTCTCCTGCCTCAGCCTCCTGAGTTAGCTGGGATTACAGGCGCCCACCACCACTTCTGGCTAATTTTTTTGTGTTTTTAGTAGAGATGGTATTTCACCATGTTGGCCACACTGGTCTTGAACTCCTGACCTCAGGTGAACTACCCGCCTCAGTCTCCCAAAGTGCTAGGATTACAGGCTTGAGCCACCGCACCTGGCCTAGTTTTTTGTTTTTTGGTTTTTTTTGTACAGACAGTCTCGCCGTGTGGGCCAGGCTGGTCTCAAACTCCTGGCCTCAAGCCATCTGCCTGCCTGGGCCTTCCAAAGTGCTGGGATTACAGGCGTGAGCCACTGTACCTGGCCAAGTCTCATTTTTTCATTTAAATTTTATTTTGCTTTAAATATTTACTTGTATTGATGCATAATAGGGGTACATAGTTTCAGGATACATGTGATAATTTAATACAGTCATACAGTTTGCAAAGATCTAATTGGTGTGCTTGGGATGTCCATCGCCATAAATATTTGTCCTTATGCCAGAAAAATTCGAGTTCTTCCCTATCTATTCTGAAATGTACCATAAATTATTTTAATTAATAGTCACCCTAACTGATCTATCTAACACTGTCTTATTTCTAATATCAGACTGTACATTTGTACCCATTAATGTCGCTTCACGCCCTGCATTTTTAAGATAACATTTTCTCTTTGGAGCTCCAGCCATCAATGTCTTTTGTTGAACATTAGTAAATTATTTCTGGTGCCATATAAAGATTTGGATACCTGTAAGCAATGAAAGATTTTCCCTTTTGTGATTTATTTTGATCACATAAAAATTATCAAATTGGAAGAGTACATGGTCATTTGAAAGGCAAAATCTTTATTTACTTACTTATTATTTTATTTTTTGTAGAGATGAGGCCTCACTATATTGCTCAGGCTGATCTTGAACTCTTGGGCTCAAGTGATCCTCCTGCCTCAACCTCCCAAGTGCTGGGGTCATAGGCATGAGCCACTGTGCCTGGCCCAGAATCCTTTTTAAAATGATGATGAAATGCCAGAGTCTTAGATACTCAGCACTCACTATCCAGGCCATTTTGCCGGGTAGATTTTTTAAACGAGAGGTTACAGGGCCAGGGTCTTTTGCCCATCTGTGGAGATGGACGGTGTGTGCGCCCTCATGTGTGACTTTCAGAATGCAGCAAAGGTTTGAAGGCTGGCCTGGCTTTGGCCACCATCGTGTGAGTCAGACCAGAAGCCAGGCGTTTTGCATGCAATATGGAACACCTCTGCTCTTTCGGCCACCACAGTATTCCTGGAAGCTTGTGCACCCCACCGACAAGTACTCCAACAAGGACTGCCCCGACAGCGCTGAAGAGTACGAGCGTGCCACGCGCTACAACTACACCAGCGAGGAGAAGTTTGCCCTAGTGGAGGTGAGGATGCTCGGCCGCTCGCTCTTCCTCATGTCGCTCTAGCTTCACACCATCTTCTCTGTCAAAAGCAAAAACATGAACAAAACTGCCTGTTTACTCATTGCTTCTGTGTGGGCACCCCTTTCCATCTGGCAGAGTAGTCAGAGTAGAACGCATTAGAGAAACAGTGGTTGTCGGTCCTGGGTCTGCACTGAAGCTCCCTGGGTGCGAATCTGGACTCCTGGACCTGCGTCTGGATGGAGAGCAGTGTCGGGTGCGGGGAAGGGAGGTGAAAGAGATGTGGCCCCTGCTGAGAGAGAAGAGCTGTCTTGCTCTCCTGTGAGGCAGGCGCTGCACTCCCCTCGTGAGCCTTTCCATGGGCAGCTCTTCATTCCAGCATCAACTGGTATCTTTTCTTTCATAGCTGTGCTTTTCCTGTGCTGTTTGAGAAATCTTTGCATACTCTCAGGTCGTGAAGGTATTCTGCATTGCTTTCTGGATACTTCACTCTGCTTTCACACTGAGATGCGAAATTCACCTGAAATTCATTTTTGAAACAATTCCGTCCAACCCTCACGCTGCCACCTTTGTAGCTGGTCACGTGACAATGCATGTGTGGCTGTGTTTCTGCTCTGCTCTAACCCAGTGTCAGTTGCTGTCGGTATCCCAGCACCACTCTGTAGCTTTGTAGTCATCTACCGTGTATGAGAAAGCACGTCTTTCTGTCTCCTAGACTTCCTTGGCTATTCTTCCCCACTGTAGTTTCATATTCATTTTAGAATCAGCTTTTCCCATCCCACAGTGAGGATTTTAATCAGGATATGAACAATCCTATGGATCATGACAGGAGAATTGACAGAAGTCTCATACAGTTGGCCCTCAGTGTTCTTGGGTTCCACCTCCATGAACCAACCTTGGGTCAAAAATGTTCAGAAAGAAAAAATAACACTACAACAGTGAAAAGTAATAAAAATGTTAAAAACCACTGTTTTGGCCTCAGCCTCCTGGACTCAAGCAATCCTCCCACCTCAGCCTCCCCATTAGCTGAAACTATAGGTGCATGCCACCACACCTGGCTAATTTTTATATTTTTGGTAGAGATGGGGTGTCACCAAGTTGCCCGGGTTCGTCTCAAACTCCTGAGCTCAAGCAATCCACCCGCCTCAGCCTCCGAAAGTGCTGGGATTGCAGGTGTGAGCCACTGCGCCCAGCCAAAATTTTCTGATTTTTTGACATAAGGTTTTTCATAGTAAATTCTCATCTTATTTTGGTAGAAGCTTTTTTTTCACATAACCATACAGTTCACCCATTTGAAGTGTAAAAGTCAATGCTTTCAGCACATTCACAGAGTTGTACAGTCACAATCAAATTTAGAACAAATATAAATGCCAGCCCATTATCAGCCACCCTTCATTCTTCCCTCCCTCAACCGTATGCAGCCACCACTCTGCTTTCTGACCCTGTAGATTTGCCTGCTCTGGGCATTTCATATGAGTAGATCATACCATATGTGGCCCTTTGTGACTGGCTTTCACAAAGCATAATTTTCACTTAGCATAATTTTCCTTTTATTTTTCTTAAGATGGAGCCTTGCTCTGTCACCCAGGCTAGAGGGCAGTGGCGTGATCTCAGCTTACTGCAACTTCTCCCTCCCGGGTTCAAGCAATTCTTGTGCCTCAGTCTCCAGAGTAGCTGGGATTACAGGCACCCACCACCACGCCCGGCTAATTTTTGTATTTATAGTAGAGACAAGGTTTCACCATGTTGGCCGGGCTGGTCTCAAACTCCTGACCTCAGGTAATCCGCCTGCCTTGGGCTTCCAAAGTGCCAGGATTACAGGCGTGAGCTACCGTGCCAGGCCACTTAGCATAATTTTCAAGATTCACACAGGTATCACTGTTTTGTTCTGTTTATTGCTGAATAATATTGCATTACATGGATATGTTACATTGTATTTATCCATCCATCAGATGATAGACATTTGGGTTATTTCTACCTTTTCACTACTATGAAGTTGCTGAGAACTTCTTTTTCTTGTTTTTTTTTTTTTTTTTTTTTTTGGAGACAAGGTCTCACTCTGTCACCCAACTGGAGTGCAGTGGCAGGATTATGGCTTATTGCAGCCTCAATCTTCTGGGCTCAGACAATCCTCCCTCCCCAGCCTCCCAAGTAGCTAGGACCACAGGCACAAACCACCATGCCTGACTAATTTTTAAATTTTTTGTAGAGATGGGGTCTCACTGTGTTGCCTAGTCTGGTCTTGAACTCCTGAGCTCAAGTGATCCTCCTGCTTTGACTTCCCAAAGCACTGGGATTAGAGGTGAGCCACCATGCCCAGCCTCTATGAGCTTTCATGTGCGGGTTTTTGTGTAGATGCTGGTTTTCATTTCTTTTGATTGTATAGCTAGAAATGCAATTACTGGATCATAACAGCACATTTAGCTTTTGAGGAACTACCAGATAGTGGCAGCACCATTTCTCCTTCTTACCAGCAGTAAGTGAGGGCTCCAGTTTCCCCACATCCACACCAAACTTGTTATTGTATGTCTTTTTGATTCTAGCTATCCTAGTGGGTGTGAGGTGGTATCTCATTTCATTGCGCTTTTGATTTGCGGTTTTCTAACAACTAAGGATGTTAAACGTCTTCTTATGTGCTTGTTGGCCATTTGTGTGCATTATTTGGAGAAATGTCTCTTCAGATCCTTTGCCCATTTTTAATTAGGTTATCTTTTTTATTATTGAGTTGTAACAGTTCCTTATACATTCTAAATATCAGTTCCTTACAGCCATAGGATTTTCAGTATCTTCTCCCATTCTATGATTGTCCTTTTAGTTTCTTAATGGAGTCTTTTGAGACACAAAGTGTTTGAATTTTGATTATGTTTGATTTATCTGTTTTTCTTTCGTTGCTTATGCTTTTGGTGTCATATATAAGAAATCATTGTGTAACCCAGGTCATGATGATTTACTCCTGTGTTTCCTTCTAAAAGTCTTTTTTTTTTTTCTTTTTTGAGACAGAGTCTTGCTCTGTCACCCAGGCTGGAGTGCAGTGGCATGATCTCAGCTCACTGCAACTTCTGCCTCCCAGGTTCAAGCAATTCTCCTGCTTCAGCCTCCCAAGTAGCTGGGATTACAGGTGTGCGCCACCACACCCAGCTAATTTTTGCATTTTTAGTAGAGACAGGGTTTCACCATGTTGGCCAGGCTGGTCCTGAACCCCTCACCTCAGGTGATCTACCCGCCTTTGCCTCCCAAAGTGGTAGGATTACAGGCATGAGCCGCCACGCCCAGCCTCTTCTAAAAGTTTTATAGTTTTAGCTCCTAACTTAAACCTAATTTAAATATATGATCCATTTTGAGTGGATTTTTATACAGCGTTTGACAAGGTTGTGTGAGGGGCCCTCCAGACCACCCTCCATCCCCCTGACTGGCTGGGAGGACTCACAGGGCTTGGTAGTTGTTGCACTGAAGGTTATGACTCCTTGCAGCCAAAAGACAGAGTCAGATCAGCAAAGGGAAAAGGCACAGGAGTGGAGTCCAGAGAAGACAGGTGTAAACTTCCAGCTGTGCCTGCTAGTGGAATTGCACGGGACGTGCTTATTTCTCCCAGCGATGATGTGTGACAGCACACACAAATTGTGGCTCACCAGGGCAGCTCCCCAGAGCCTTGGGGTCCTGGGTTTTTACTGGGGGCCAGTCACGTGGCTGACCTTGGCTACTCAGACTCTAGGTCCTCAAAACACACACAGGAGGTCACTATTAGTCACCTTGTTAGCAGAGACTGATCAGACTGGTACAGCAGTAGGCCCGGGGCCCCAGGCACACAAAAACATAATCTCTAGGCAGGACACTCCCAAGGTTCAGAGCTGGTTCCTGGGATGACTTCAGCCAGTCCTGAAGATGGGCCTTTCTTGGGGATGTGCGGAGTTTCATTCTCCCCAGCCTGCTGAGTTAACCCTTTCCTGCACAAGGGTCCACCTTGATTCTCTCGCATGTGCAGATACAGTTGTCAGTACTATTTGTTGAAAAGATGATCTTTCCCCATCAAATTGTTTTGGTACCCTGTTGAAAATCAATTGTAAGTTAACTTCTGGACTCTTAATCCTATCCCATTGACCTCTGTCTATCCTATGACAGTATTTTTTCATAATCTCTTAATCTGTCTATAAACTGCTAATGTCCCCTTTTTCATTCTTAATGCTGGTAACTCGTGCTTCTTTTTTTTTTTTTTTTTTTTTGAGACAGAGTCTCGCGTGTTGCCCAGGCTAGAGTGCAGTGGCACAATCTCAGCTTACTGCAACCTTCACCTCCCGGGTTCAAGCTACTTCTGGCCAATTTTTGTATTTTTAGTAGATACAGGGTTTCACCAATGTTGGCCTGGCTGGTCTTGAACTCCTGACCTCAAGTGATCCACCCTCCTTGACCTCCCAAAGTGCTGGGATTACAGGCGTGAGCTACTGTGCCTGGCCTGCTTCTCTGTCTTTTTTTTCTTTGTTATTCTTGCTAAGCATTTGTCAGTTTTACTGTTTATTTACTGAACAGCTTTGTCTTTGTTGATCACCCTTGATTATACACTTGTTTTCTGTTTCATTGTTACATTTATTTATTTATTTATTTATTTATTTATTTATTTTTGAGACAGAGTCTCGCTGTGTCACCTAGGCTGGAGTGTAGTGACGCCATCTCAGCTCACTGCAACCTCCACCTCCCAGTTTCAAGCAGTTCTCCTGCCTTAGCCTCCCAAGTAGCTGGGACTACAGGTGTGCACCACCACACCAGGCTAATTTTTGTATTTTTAGTAGAGACGGGGTTTCACCATATTGGCCAGGCTGGTCTCGAACTCCTGACCTTGTGATCCGCCTGCCTCGGCCTCCCAAAATACTGGGATTACAGGCATGAGCCACTGCGCCCGGGTGCTTTTAGTTATTTTTCTTCGATTTTGGGGGGGTTTATTTTGCTGTTTTCTATAAATTAGTGATGAATGTTTGATAAGTATTATGATTTTTATCCTTTTTAGTTTTCTAATGCGTGCATCTAAAGCTCTCAGTTTGCTGTTAACTTGCCTTTTCCTTCTTCCTGTAAGTGTGAATATGTAGGATTGTTATGTTCACTTAAATGGGTTTTTCCTCGTTTGGTTTTTTAAATAGAACTTTTCTTTTTTGTTGATTGGAAAAACAATATAAAATCATCAGTTTTCCAAAGTAAGCATGCTGAAAACACAAGCATGGCATTAGGAAGGCACAGTGCCTGCGGCGCCATCACAGAGATGGCGCTGAGCAGCTGGGTGCGTTTTCTTCCAGACTTTTTCCTTTCTAAAATTTTCATTATTTTAATTGCATATAGACCATGAGTCTTACATGAAAGCAGTCTATTTGGAAATTCTTTACGTTATAGAAGGATGAATTAAAAGCAGACTGTCAACTTTTCCACCTGAAAATTTCATGAAAAAGAAAAGCACCAAAATCATATAAGCCATGTTTCAAGTACTTGTCAGACACGTCTTCATTTACCCATGAATCAGGCTGTTTATAAAGCCATAATGAGGAACTCAAAAGGTGTGAATAAAACCAGAAAGTGATAGAGGGAGACTGTGTGAAGCCTTGGGGAAACACATTTGTGTTCTTGCTAAGTGAACTTCAAACCAACAGATTTAATAAAAGTAGGAAGATGCCTAGCCAAGCATGGTAGTGCATGCTTATAGAACTAGTTACCCAGGAGGCTGAGGCAGGAGGATCGATTGACCCTGGGAGTTCAAGGCTGCAGTGAGCTATGATCATGCCACTGCACTCCAGTCTGGGCAACAGAGTGAGACCCTGTCTCAAAAAAAAAAAAAAAAAAAAAAAGCTGCCTTAATTTTGAATCTGTCAAATACTTAATTTCAAAAGGTTTTTTTTGTTTGTTTGTTTTTTGTTTTTTTTTATTACTGTGGACTGAAGACCATTTTCAGATGTTGAAGTAGGGTTTTTGTTTTGTTTTGTTTTGAGACAGGGTCTCGCTCTGTCACCCAGGCTGGAGAGCAGTGGCATAGTCATGGCTCACTGCAGCCTCGAACTCCTAGGCTCAAGTGATCCTCCTGGCTTAGCCTCCCGAGTAGCTGGGACTATAGGCTCATGCCACCACACCTGGCTAATTTTTAAATTTTTTGTAGAGATGGGGTCTGGCCATTTTGTTCGGGCTGATCTTGAACTCTGGTCTCAAGTGATTCTCCCGCCTCAGCCTCCCAAAGTGCCAGGATTATGGGTGTGAGCCACTGTGCCTGGCCAAAGAAGGGTTGTTAAGATTTTCCCAAATGTATTAGTCTTAGGTACAGCGTTCTAGTTAAAAGATAAAAAGAAGTGAATTATGTTTCACTGGTGCTATTAAATGTTCCACTTTGGTGTCTTATATGTCAGACATCCACACGGCAGGGTGGACTTGGGGTAAGTGTGTCTTGCTCTGCCTCACTTGCTGCTTTCAGAGAGATTTCTAGGCCTCACATAGCTATCATGAAGTTGGCTGTAGAAATATTTATAAACGGCAAAAGCCGTAAGAAAGCTCATGCAATTGTAAAGGTCATACTTGGTTTGTGACCTTCAATTGTTTATTCAGAAAGTAATAAAGCACACTGTCATGACAAAATTACTGTCTGGAAACAGGGAAATAATGAGCCCTGGCACCATTTTTCTGTCCCAGGAATTCCTTTGGAAGCTCTTTGTCATGTAATTATGTTCCATCAGAGTCTTCCAGGCTTTTTCTGTGAATGGTAGTTCACTGCGCCTTTGTTGTGAACAATATGGGATTTGGACTACAACCTCTTGTAACTTCTTTTTCTAGTAATATCATGCCTGCTTTCCTGAGTCTTTTTCTTCTTTCCTATTTGAATTCCATCACAGGAGGGTGTGCTGGGGTGGATGCATGTGTGTTTCGAGTCAGATGCATCCCTGTCCTCCAGGTGCTCATGGTCTGATGGGGAGTCAGATGCGGGCACAGTTCCATTGACTATGGCTTTGGAGAAGACGTTTTGGGGCAGGGCAGCTGCAGGGCACGAACGCGGGAGGGCGTAAGGTGCTGTGGGCGAGGAGGAGCAGCCCCCGGCATGTGCCAGGCAGAGGAGGCTTGGTGCCATCCCTAAGAAGGGCCGTCCCTGTTGCTGTGTCCCCCGCAGGTGATCGCCATGATCAAAGGCCTGCAGGTGCTGATGGGCAGGATGGAGAGCGTGTTCAACCACGCCATCCGGCACACCGTCTATGCCGCACTGCAGGACTTCTCCCAGGTGACCCTTAGGGAGCCGCTGCGGCAGGCCATCAAGAAGAAGAAGAACGTCATCCAGAGGTCAGCCTTCCCCACGCCCTGTGCCCGCTGTGCCCACACGTCCTCGGATGAACTTGGATTCAAACAACAGGAGCGTTAAATTCTCAAAAATGATTTCAATATATTTATCTTCAACCTTCAGATGCCCTCTTGGTGAATTACCTCTAAAAGTAATGCATGGGTCCAATTATTAACCCAAACAATGGACAGTAAGTCAGCTGCCGAGTGTCTAGGGAGTCTGAGGACCCCGGGACAAGGTGCATTTATCCCAGGCTCGCGGTGCCTGTGGTTCATGCATGGTGCCTTATGGGGGTCTCTGCACGGTGGAGCCCTGTTGGTGATGAGGCTGTGTTCCAAACCAGTCGAGAGACATGGCCAGGCTCTGGTCATGTGGGTGACTTCACATTCCTGTTGGTTACTGGGGACAGCCAGCTGCGGGCAGGCGGGGCCCAGCTCTGCTCCGTGCGGAGGCTGTGTTCTGCCCTCTCCCTGCCCACAGCATGACTCAGAGCCACCTCACTGCTGCCCTGGGCTAACAGATGCGAACTGGAGCTCAGGGCAGTCTTCTGGGGGTAGTAATACTCTCCAGAAGGCAGACTCCTTTTTAACTTTCCTGTTGAGCTGGTCCATTACCACATCCCTCCATGGCCCCCAGAGTAATTTGTATTTTCATGGGGGCTGTTCTGAGAGCCTTGTAGTTGGGTGAGGAGATGGTGTGATTGTGAGGCTGGAGGTCTCGGCCTCTGGGCCTTGCTGATCACTTGGTGGGGTGTTCAGTGTCCTGCAGGCCATCAGGAAGACCGTGTGTGACTGGGAGACGGGGCATGAGCCCTTCAATGACCCAGCCTTGCGGGGCGAGAAGGACCCCAAGAGCGGCTTCGACATAAAAGTACCACGCCGCGCCGTGGGACCCTCCAGCACTCAGGTTCTCGTCCCTTGAGCCCCGCCTGCACCCTCTCCCTGGGGGGACCCACCCTGAGCTGTGAGCGGGTGGGGCTGGTGAGGCCCGGGTTAAATGAGGTCCTCGCTGCCTGCTCAGGCAGAGAAAGTGGCGCCTGTGGTTTCTGCTGCTCCTCTGTTTCCCACCCAAGTGAGTTGGGAGCGTGAGGAGACGTGCCTTGATTGTCAGATGTGTCATGTGCACTAAAAAGGAGTCTGACTCCATTTCAACTCCCATCCCAAAAATGTGGGCACAAGTCCACGTGTCTGTATTCATTCTGTGTTTCTTGATGGGTGTTTGAATGTCTGTATAATTTTTACGTTGGGTCTGCAAATGACTGTAGATGGGGCGTGGGAAACTGTGAGGTGCTGCTTGCGTGTGTCATGGTCCTAAGCTGCCCACTGTCCTCTCTCCTGGTGTGTTCAGGCCTCCCCGAGGTGCTTCTCACGACTTTCACACCCGGTTTAATCCACACCGCTGCGTCTGTCCTCCGTCCTGGGGCTGGTCTTCTCCCTCATCTCTGCCGGAGGCTTTTAATCTCTTCTGCCACTCTTCTGGAAAGTCACCAGCAATGCACGCTGCTGGCTCTGCAGGAGGGTCAGGGGGACGGCCCTCGGCCTGTGCGTGGTGCCAGCCACCCTCCCTGCCTCCCTCTGCGTGCGTCCCGTGTCCCTGCCTGGGGTGTGTGTGTCGAGTGACTAACGTCTCTCTCCTGCCTCTCCCTCCTGTCTGTCCGTGTCTAGCTCTACCTGGTGCGCACCATGGCCGAGTCCTTGGGCTCTGCCGAGCTGCTCAGGCAGCTCAAGTCTCTGGGCATGGAGAGGCTCTTGCATGCGGTTAACACGTTTCTGAGGCAGTCGTGCACCTACCTACCCCTTTTAACCTTTGGTGGTAAGACATCATTTGTTTCTCTTGACGTTTATGGCACGGAGGCGAACTGCTCCGCTACAAGTTGTTCTTTCCCCAAAGCAGCAGCAACGTGGCCGCGTAGACAGGCACCCGGACCCCTCGGGGAGCTGGTGCGGGGCCCTCCCGACCAGGGCGTAGCGGAGCAGTCCTTCTCTCATGGGCTTTTTGAGTTTGGCATAACTAATGTACCATGTATATTTTCTCCCCCACAAATGTTTCCTTGGATAATCCAGCTTTACATGGTGAGAACCATGCTAGAGTCCCTCATTGCAGACAAAAGTGGTTCCAAGAAAACCTTGAGAAGTAGCCTTGAGGGGCCCACCATATTGGACATAGAAAAATTTCATCGAGAGTCATTCTTCTACACTCACTTGATAAATTTCAGTGGTAAGAGATACTGCTGAGCAGCATCCGGCCTGGCATGTCCTAACACCACTAACACCGTCTAGAATGCTTCCGCCCGCCTGACCACCCCCTACCCCGTCCCTTGGTGCACCCAGACGGTGACTCGTCCTGCCCTCTGTGGCGGTGGCTGTACGTCCCTGGCCTGAGCTCGCTCCACAGGGCGTGGTCCCTACAAGGGTATAAACTGAGGAGCCCGGGCTGGCCCTGAGACATGAACAGAAAATCTTTTCAACCCATGCGGGGTTGGAAACAGGCGAATGTAATCTGGTGCCTGAGTTGAGACACAGGCATTGATAAATACTAGAAATGGCCCTTGCAGACCATGACGTGGGGGGAAGGTGGCGGGTGCCCTGTGCCAGGCAAGCCCATCCTGGGTGACACCCGGCCACCTTGACCGGCCACCGGTGGGTGCGCTCTCTGCCCTCCGTGTGTCTGTCCCGTGTTCTCATCAAGTCCTCCGTTGTCCACCTCTTGCTCAGAACAGGATCCCTGCTGTCTTGGCTGGGGTGCTGCGAGGTATTGGAGGAAATAGTACCACTTTTGCTGTTAACTCCATGAAAGGATGGAGTTCGAGTGTGGGCTCTTTTAATCTGTCTCATTTTTGCGTTAGACAGACCTCCCTGAGTGTGCCTCTAATGCTGCAGCCTGGACATTGGTTTTTATCCTAAGTGAAAGTGAAGAAGTCCTGTTTTTTTGTTTTGTTTTTTGTTGAGACGAAGTCTTGCTCTGTCACCCAGGCTAGAGTACAGTGGGGCGATCTCAGCTCACTGCAAGCTCCGCCTCCCAGGTTCAAGAGATTCTCCTCCCTCAGCCTCCCAAGTAGCTGGGATTATAGGTGCTCACCACTGCGCCTGGCTAATTTTTGTATTTTTAGTAGAGATGGGGTTTTACCATGTTGGCCAGGCTGGTCTCAAACTCCTGACCTTGTGATCCACCCGCCTCGGCCTCCCAAAGTGCTAGGATTACAGGCGTGAGCCACTGTGCCCAGCCAGAAGTCCTGTTTTTATGTCTCCTTTTGAGAAGAACATTTTTAGGTAAGACACAGTGGCTCATACCTGTTAATCCTAACACTTTGGGAAGCCAAGGCAGGAGAATCACTTGAATTCGGGAGTTTGAGACCAGCCTGGGCAACATGGCGAGACCCCCATCTCTATAAAAAATACAAAATCAGTTGGTGGCACGTGCCTGTGTTCTCAGCTACTTGGGAGGCTGAGGCAGGAGGATCGCTTGAGCCCAGGAGTTGAAGGCTGCAGTAAGCTATGATCGCGCCACTCACCTCCAGCCTGGGTGACAGAGTGAGATAGACTCTGTCTCAAAAAAAAAAAAAAGACACTTTCCCCCTGGATCCCACTGAAGGGCTCACAGGGTTGATGAGGTGGCTTTACCTGCAGCTATGCCCAGCTGGTCCTGTCCCTAGTGCAAGGCCCCGGTGACCCCTCCCCACTCATGTCCATGCTGCATGGCTTGGGGCTGAGCGAGGAGGAGCAGGCACCCAGCACACAGCCCTTGTGTCATCTCTGCTAAAGGTTTTTTTTTGCTTGCGGGAGATAACATGGAGTTGTTTGAACCCTCCCAGAAACGCTGCAGCAGTGCTGTGACCTTTCGCAGCTGTGGTTCCGAGAGTTCTTCCTGGAGCTGACCATGGGCAGGAGGATCCAGTTCCCCATTGAGATGTCGATGCCCTGGATCCTGACGGACCACATCCTGGAGACCAAGGAGGCATCGATGATGGAGTGCGTGTCCTGCGGGCCTGTCTCCAGCCTTTGTGTGTGGTGACCGGGGGTCCTCAGAGGAGGTGGCGGAGAGGCCGGGACTGTTTTTAGTATTGTATTTGAAATCAAGTTTCTGGGCCTGGGCAAAATAGCAAGACCCCAGTCTCTACAAAAATGAGAAAACTTAGCCTGGTGTGGTGGCTGATGCGGGAGGATTGCTTTACCACAGAAATTTGTGGCTGCATTGAGCTATGGATTGCACCACTGCATTCCAGCCTGGCCACGTAGCAAGACCCTGTCTCCAAATAAAAAAAAAAAAAAGAGAAATCATGTTTCCTGGGGTAAAGCTTTAGAGATTAATACAAGTAACTAACCAGTTTCTTGGTGTCAGACTGGAATTGAGAGCTCAGGCACTAGAACCAGTCACGTTCCTACTTTGCATGGGTGCTGGCTGGGACCCGGGGACTCAGCCTGGACCAGGGAGATGGATGAACCTGGACCTTCCCCAGGCCTTCGTAGTGCAGGCCCTGTGAGGTGGCCATGCCCGTGAGCTGCCTTGCGGGAGCCCTGTGGCCTGGCCTTTTGTGTGACACAGCCTCTGACCCAGATGAAGTGGGGAAAGGAAGTATTGATTGAACAGCTTTGTTCTGGGGATCAGGACTGTGGACCTAGATGGAAGGGCAGTCTTTCAAAATATAAAGTTCATGGAAGGGAAAGTGTTTGGAAAAGGGTGTGTCTCATGGTGAGCGACTGGGGAGCCGCCCAGCCGGTCTGTCTTCTGAGCACCGTGAGTGGGAAGCCCCTGAGTTCCTTGTGCGTCAGTCCTCACACATCCCTTGTGGTGCCCAGGAGATGGTAAGGGCAGTCACCTTCCACTCTCTGTGGCTGTGGCATGGCCATGCCATTTGTGTGGGCAGAGCCTCTGATGGCTCGTTGCACAGCATTGGGGTGGCGTGAGGAGCTGGAACCAGCTTGGAGGCCTCCTTCAGGCATGGGCCTCCTTGCCCCTGGCCATGGCCTTTGTCCAGATATGAGGTAGTGGGAGACGGGCCTTCAACCATGGGCCATGCTGGACATGCTCCTGGTGAGCTGTGGGATCCAGGACCTTCACCTTTGTTCTTTTTTTTTTTTTTTTTTTTTTAATGCTGTCTATGTACTTCCGTTGGTGTAATTTTTTCTTTTTTTTCTTTCTTTCTTTTTTTTTTTTTTTTTTTTTTTTGAGACAGAGCCTTGCTCTGTTACCCAGGCTGGAGTGCAGTGGCACAATCTCAGCTCATTGCAACCTATGCCTCCCGGGTTCAAGCAATTCTCCGGCCTCAGCATCCCAAGTAGCTGGGACTACAGGCACCCACCACCACGCCCGGCTAATTTTTGTATTTTTAGTAGAGATGAGTTTCATCATGTTAGCCAGGCTGGTCTCGAACTCCTGACCTCAAGTGATCCGCCCACCTCGGCCTCCCAAAGTGCTGGGATTACAGGCATGAGTCACCGCGCCCAGTCCACCTTTGTTCTTTTCCAGTCAGTTCATTCTTTTTTTTTTTCCCCCCAACAGAGACAAGGTCTTGCTCTATTGCCCAGGCTGGAGTGCAGTGGTGCAAAGACAGCTCACTGCAGCTTCAACCTCCCAGGCTCAGGTGATCCTCCTGCCTCAGCCTCCTGAGTAGCTGGGACTACAGGCATGCGCCACCACACCTGGCTAATTGTTTTGTGTTTCATGGAGACGGGGTCTTGCTATGTTGTCCAACCTGGTCTCAAACTCCTGGCCTCATGTTATCTTCCTGCCTCATCCACCTAAAGTGCTGGAGTTCATTCTCTATCATTTTTTTTGGACAGGGTCTCACTCTGTCACACAGGCTAGAGTGTAGTGGCACGATCTCAGCTCACTGCAGCCTCAACCTCTCAGGCTCAAGTGATCCTTCTACCTCAGCCTCCCAAGTAGCTGGGACTCAGGCGTGCGCCACCACGCCCAGATAGTTTTTTGTAGTTTTGTTAGAGACAGTATTGCCGTATTGCCCAGGCTGGTCTTGAACTCCTCACCTCAATCAAGTGATCTGCCCACCTCAGCCCCACAAAGTGCTGGGATTACAGGCATGAACCACCAAGCCTGGTCCTTGGAGTTCATTCTGGAAATAAGAAAATAATTTTCTTTTGTTAAAAATCCTATGTACTTGTAGTGAAATATTTTAAAGTCTGCTAAGTGAGAAGATGCAGGCAGGTGGAGGCCCTTGTCCGTGTGTGGCCTTCAGTGAGCGTCTGCTGTCCCCAAGCATCCTCGCAGCCTGGTGGGTGTGGCGGCCGCCTCAGGCGCAGCCACCACGTGCTTTCACAGGAGGACTGGTGTTTGAAGTGAAAGTTGTTTTTCCTTACGTGAGAGGTGGAAAATGGAGTTGAGTTTCTGAGGTGGGGCGAGGCTGTCGGAGCTGCGAGTGAGTGGCAGAGGCTGCTGGTCACACTGCTGCTGTCCTCTGCAGGTACGTGCTCTACTCCCTGGACCTGTACAATGACAGCGCCCACTACGCGCTCACCAGGTTCAACAAGCAGTTCCTGTACGACGAAATTGAGGCCGAGGTGAGGCCCCTGCAGCTCCATTTCTGTTCATTTCCTTCAATTAAATCTCCTTTCTCTTTTTGTTTTCTCCCAAGTATTCAACTTTCTTTAAAATATAAGACAGTATAAACCACGAAGCAAGCATGTGGGAGCAAGCCCTTCCTCTGTGGATATGCTTCCACGATGAGTGCAGGATGCGCTTTTTCACTTGACCGTGTGTCACTGCGGTGTCTGTGTCCTCATCTATTTTTGGTTATGAGCATGATCTTTGATGTTCAACTGAAGCAACTCCTGTTTTATTTCTCTATTTTTTTGGTTTTGGATTTTATAAATAGCACTCTGCTGCACTCCCTGGCATGTTTTTTATTTGCATCGCATGACTTCTATAGGACAAATTCCCACAGGTGGAATTCTCAGGTTAGTGTATGCACATTTAAGGAGATGAACCTTATTCTACACATCATCTCCTCTGCCTTCTCACAAAGACCACCTGAAAATGGTGCTTCAGGGAGATGTCACAGGTCCCCGGCCCTGCAGGATGGGAGGAGGGCAGAGACGCCCTTCTTGGCCCTGTCTGCTGGGCAGATGGGTCCTGGGTCCCACTTGCCACGAAGCACAGGTATTCTCCTCACAGTTCCAGGAGATAGTGCGAATCCCATCTGCAAGTAAGGGTCTTTTGAGGGTACCTCCTGACCAATCTCACACCCAGAACAGCCGCTTTGCTCCAGGGAAGGCCCTCGGTGGTGCCTCCTGGAGTGCACAGTAGGCGGAGCTGCCCCAGGGCAGGAACCCACCTGCAATGCACAGTAGCTCCTCGTGGTCACTGCACACAGTGAAGAGAGCCTTGTTGATTCTCTCTTGCATTTCAGAGAATAGGAATATTTTTCTCCCTCAGTAAGATTGGTTCTAGCCTAGTTTTCTGTGGCAGTGTGGTAGTCACTCCTGGCCACACTGCAGTTTATTTAGTGTGCTGTTGTTGGACAGTAAGATTATTGCTAGTTTCTTTAGTTTATTTTTCTTTTTTGAGGTGGAGTCTTGCTCTGTCGCCGAGGCTGGAGTGCAGTGGTGTGAGTTCAAGCGATTCTTGTGCTTAGCCTCCCGAGTAGCCAGGACCACGGGCACGTGCCACCACACCAGGCTAATGGTGGTGGGCACCTATAATCCCAGCTACTCAGGAGGCTGAGGCAGGAGAATCACTTGAGGCAGAGATTGCAGTGAGCCAAGATCGCACTACTGCGCTCCAGCCTGGGCAACAGAGCAAGACTCCGTCTCAAAAAAATAAAAGAGCCTCAGTTAGTTGCCTTAACGAAACATTTTGTTTTTCACCTTGTTATTTGATCTTGCTTTAGGGAATCAAACTGTAACGTGTGCTTTCTTTTTCTTCAGGTGAATCTATGTTTTGACCAATTTGTTTACAAGCTAGCAGACCAGATATTTGCCTATTATAAGGTTATGGCAGGAAGGTGAGTATCTGGTGTGTGATTTTGATACAAAACGTTTCATAATTTGATCTGACATTCCCATTACAATTTATGGCGTATGAAAAACTTTCTGTCTTCCTTCTACACTAGTTTGCTTCTTGATAAACGGTTACGATCAGAATGCAAGAATCAGGGAGCCACGATCCACCTCCCGCCGTCTAACCGCTACGAGACGCTGCTGAAGCAGAGGCATGTGCAGGTGAGCTGGGGCCGGGCTGTGGTGGGGACGTAGAGTGTGCATTGAAAAGACTGGGTTTTCGGCTGGGTGCGGTGGCTCACGCCTGTAATCCCAACACTGGGAGGCCAAGGTGGGCGGATCACCTGAGGTTAGGAGTTCAAGACCAGCCTGGCCAACATAGCAAAACCCCATCTCTACTAAAAATACAAAAATTAGCTGGGCGTGCTGGTGGGTTCCTGTAGTCCCAGCCGCTCTGGGATGCTGAGGCAAGAGAATCGCCTGAACCTGGGAAGTGGAGCTTGCAGTGAGCTGAGATTGCACCACTGCACTCCAGCCTGGGTGACAGAGTGAGCAAGACTCCGTCTCAAAAAAAAGAAAAAAAAAATGATTGAGATTTCTTATAGCTAGCTAGGTTTAGATATCAGCATGCCTTGTGACTGTGAACGTCCTTATAAATTGTTAGGCATTGAAAGACACACCGTTTCTATTGGGTCACCTCACACACAGGGAACACCTGCAGCATTCTGTATCTGCCCTGCGGCTCCTGGGGGCAGGCATAGCCCGGAGGGGTCAGCCCTTCTCCAGGAGCCCAAAAGCCAGAGCTTAAAAAGAATGAAGGTGAGAAGCACTCATCAGCTCAGAGTATCAGAGAAAACTTTCTCCTGGCCAGCAGGAAGAATTTAAAGATATACAGTGCTTATTTTTTACAGCTTTTAAAAAAAGATTCACATTGCATGCCTGTATTAAAACATCTCATGTACCCCATAAATATGTACACTTACTGCGTACCCACAAACATTAAAAAAAGAAAAAAAATTAAAAATTAAAAGTGATGTTACATTACACACACAAAACTAGTTAGTAAAATATGGAAAACTAAAAAAAATTGCATTTAATTCTACTCTCTATACACGAATAATCATCATGCACATTTTTGGACATTTTCACCAGGGCTTTGTCATATTTTTATGTAGTTAGAACAACACTGAAGTATGGATATGTTCCTAGTAGGCCAAAATAGAGATGGAGTAATTTTATTTATCGTCATAACACCTGTAAAAAGACACACACAGGCTGCCATGTATGTGGGGAGATGGGTCTTGAACGTGGTTGTAAAGGGTGTCGTTATTGACAGACCAGCTTCTCCAGGGTCTCTGGTGAGGCGTTTGTTGTTTTCGAGCTGCTCATGTCCACTCTTTACCTGCCATCCTTCCCTGTGTACGCCAGCTCCTCGGCAGATCAATAGACCTCAATCGTCTGATCACCCAGCGCGTCTCAGCAGCCATGTATAAGTCCCTAGAACTGGCGATTGGACGATTTGAAAGTGAAGATTTGACCTCCATAGTTGTAAGTAATTTCACTTTGCCCTATTGATAAATTGGACTAAGGGTAGGTCCAGTTCTTGTATAGATGATAAAAGAGATGCACTCATCGGGCGTGGCCTATACCAAGCCTCTTGTATAGATAATAAAAGAGATGCACTCACTGGGCGTGGCCTATACCAAGCCTCTTGTATAGATAATAAAAGAGATGCACTCATCGGGCGTGGCCTATACCAAGCCTACACTCAGTGTTCACAATGCTAAATTGACTTAACAAACACATAACCCCAATCTTGAAAAAATCGCCAACTATGGCAAAAGGTAGCACACCACTTAATAACGTGTTTACATTTTAGTATGAACGAGCTAGGAGATAAAAATGTTTAACTTTGGCTGGCACGGTGGCTCATGCCTGTAATCCCAGCACTTTGGGAGGCCTGCGGGGGTGGATCATTTGAGGTCAGGAGTTTGAGACCAGCCTGGCCAACATAGTGAAACCCCATCTCCACTAAAACTACAAAAATTAGGCGGGCGTGGTGGCAGGCACCTGTAGTCCGAGCTACTCCGGAAGCTGAGGCAGGAGAATCGCTTGAATCCAGGAGGCAGGGTTGCAGTGAGCCCAGATCGCGCCACTGCACTCCAGCCTGGGCGACAGAGCAAGACTCTGTCTCAAAAAAAAAAAAAAAAAAAAAAAAAAAAAGAAATATCTTCTTTAGGGACCAAGAGAGCCCACAAGGGTCTTCCTGCTAATTCTTCTACCCCTACATTTCGCTTGGCTGTCTGAATTCATCTCATCTCCAGGTAAGGTCTAATCCTTCTCCTGTTATCTGGACCTTCAGGTTTCCCAGTGAGGATGTGTGTTCGGGGCCAACGTTCCCCGCTCACCCTCTTTGGGCGCTCACCCATTTTTCGGCTGTCTCACGGAGCCTACAGAGGCAAGCCGCTTCCTTCAGAGGGTCTTTGGATTCTCTGCTTTCCTGGTATGTTCCTGTGGTATTTCTTGAAGCAAAAATTTGCAGTGTGAGTCTTCACACACTGCTGTGTTCGTCTGAATGGGAGCTGCCAGTTAGTCCTACCTTCTGTCTGCCATTTTTCCCTGTGTCTCTATCACAATTTGAACACAGGAAGAGGCAAGACTAAGGAACAGGAAAACAGAGGTTAAAAACATCTGAACTGGGGAACAGAGAAAAATAAAAATGAATGAGACAGAAAAGAGCATAAGAAATGTAGAAAACAGTGGAAAGACCTAACGTGTAACTGGAGTGTTAGAGGAGATGAGAGAGAGAGTGGTGTCACGGAAGACTTGTCTGAAGAGAAGATGGCAGAAAGACCTTAACGTGGACAGAAGACACCGGCCTGCCACTCAGGTGTGCCACCCAACTACACATGCTGGAGCCAGGGCCGGAGCCACAGGGGGACCTCAGTGAGCGGGCCCCCGAACCACAGCTCTGTGGATCACCTGACCACCCCCCAACTCTGACCCTCGGCCTGTGGTGCCTTTGAATCTTTAGGATTTAATCAGAGCTAGTAGGCAGTAAGCCTGAATGGGCTGGTTGTCTTCCCTTCTCCAGTGCGTGGTCATTGGTGCATGGCCACACGTCCGTTTCCACTGTGGGAGCAGGGGGAGGGTTTACAGTGTGCATTTTCTAACAAAATGCACAAGGTCCTTTCTCCCCTTCACCCAAGGAGCTCTGGGTCTGAGAACTGGTTGAGGAGCCATGAATTTCTTTTATGATGATTCAAGTTAGGCTGGTATTGGTCGGCCTAGGGCTTTTCCCTTTATCCAGATCAATGAGACTTCCGAAGGCCGATCGTTTGTGCCAGCCCTGGGGATACCACAGTCCTTTAGTCAACACTGGCACCCCTGTGCCAACGCTGGCACCCCTGTGAGTCAGGCAATTTGAGTACACATGAGTTGTGCTGCCCGCCACCTGGCACCATTGGAGTCAAGGAGCCCAGGCTGGTGGCCTACAGAGAATAATTTAGACAGAGCTCTTCAAAGATGCCTGAGATGAGAACAGGTTTCAGGGAGCTAAAACAGTAGGCCCTGCTGACTCTGGAATTGAATAAATCAAAATTCCCTCCTAAGACAAAGCTGCCCATGGGAGAAGCTGCTGGGAATAGCATGTAAGCTGGTAAGGGTTAGGATCATGGCGGAGGGGAGCATGAGAGGCAGGTCTCAGAAGGCTTGAGCCAGTGCTGTTACTCTTGGCCCTGACCAACCCCTCTTCCTCTTCAGAAGCATGAGAGAGCTTATTTCACTTCCAGTCGAGCCACAGGTAAAGATCATGGTCCAATCCCCTTTAGACGTATTACACTAAAAAAGAAAATGTAAGTGCACAGCAGTGTCCCTACAGACAGTGGAGGCACGTCAGACAGACACCCACGGACCATGGAAACTGTAACTTCATCTTTCACAGTGAGCTAAAAGAAATGAAGAAAGTAGTAGTTGCTGGCCGGGCGCTGTGGCTCACGGCTGTAATCCCAGCACTTTGGGAGGACGAGGCGGGCGGATCACGAGGTCAGGAGATCGAGACCATCCTGGCTAACATGGTGAAACCCCGTCTCTACTAAAAATACAAAAAATTAGCCAGGCTTGATGGCGGACGCCTGTAGTCCCAGCTACTCAGGAGGCTGAGGCAGGAGAATGGCGTGAACCCGGGAGGCGGAGGTTGCAGTGAGCCGAGATTGTGCCACTGCACTCCAGCCTGGGCAACAGAGCGAGACTCCGTCTCAAAAAAAAAAAAAAAAAAAAATAGTAGTTGCTGTGAAAGAATAATATAAATGAGAATTTTTAGAAATCCAGAAATAGGCTGGGCACGGTGGCTCACACCTGTAATCCCAGCACTTTTGGAGGCTGAGGTGGGTGGATTGCCTGAGGTCAGGAGTTCAAGACCAGGCTGGCCAACGTGGTGAAACCCCATCTCTACTAAAAATACAAAAAATTAGCCGGGCGTGGTGGCACATGCCTGTAATCTCAGCTACTTGGGAGGCTGGGGCAGGAGAATTGCTTGAACCCAGGAGGCAGAGGTTGCAGTGAGCCAAGATTGTACCATTGCACTCCAGCCTAGGCAACAGAGCAAGACTCTGTCTCAAAGAAAAAAAAAAATAAATCGAGAAATAAGGTTATTGGAAAAAAGAAAGTTTTGAAAAGAGAAAAGGCCGGGCACAGTGGCTCATGCCTGTAATCCCAGCACTTTGGGAGACTGAGGCAGGCAGATCACGAGGTCAGGAGATCAAGACCATCCTGGCTAACATGGTGAAACCCCGTCTCTACTAAAAATAAAAAAATTAGCCGGGTGTGGTGGCGGGCACCTGTAGTCCCAGCTTACTCGGGAGGCTGAGGCAGGAGAATGGCAGGAACCCGGGAGACAGAGGTTGCAGTGAGCCGAGATCGTTCCACTGTACTACAGCCTGGGTGACAGAGCGAGACTCCGTCTCAAAACAAAAACAAAAAAAAAAACAGAAATAAGAATGAAGGCTGGGCACTCGGTGGCTCGCTCCTATAATTCCAGCACTTTGGGAGGCCAAGGTGGATGGATCACGAGGTCAGGAGATCGAGACCATCCTGGCCACCATGGTAAACCCCGTCTCTACTAAAAAATACAATAAATTAACCAGGCATGGTGGCACACGCTTGTAGTCCCAGCTACTCGGGATGCTGAGGCAGGGGAATCGCTTGAACCCAGGAGTTTTTGAGGCTCTGTCTCAAAAAAAAAAAAAAGGAATGAAAAGAGGGAACATTTTTAAAATCAAAAAGAAATTAAAGCAGAAAAAGGATTTGAGAGGAAATGATGTTCTCAGATGATCATCATCATGGATGATGAAGATTCAGTGTACCTGTCATACAGCTTCCTCAAGAAGAAAACCAAAGCAACGGAACAGGGCCGACTGGCATCTATTTCAAGAAAATATTGATAAAATAGAAGACACCTTGAAAGTGTCTATTAAAAGCATACATCATGTATTTGGTAAAACCGACCCAAGCTTGTCAACACTTAGAAATACTGCATCTTAGGCTGGTTGAAGATTAGAAAAAATAATAATAATACATTTAAAAACGGTATTGCAGTGAAAGTTTTGGACTTTCCAGGTGAGGAAGAAGTCCTTGGGCTGTCTGAGCAGGGCAGGCAGGGAAGGAAAATCCGATTGTCCTCAGACCTTCACCAGAGCCAAGGAAAGGAACTGTGAATCGAGGGTTTGGTCGCCAGCCAAATTGATCTTCTGAGAATAAAGGCTGCAGACAGATGGTAATGAACGTGCCAGGGCTCCAGAGGATTGTTCATTCCTGGAGAACAGACCTTGGCTGGCAGACACTGGGCGCTGGCGGGCACAGTGCGTGTCCCTGTGAGCATCTCTGCACTTCAGAGCAGGGCCCTGCGTATTCATCCTTAGAGTCAAACAGGCTGGGACTCAGAGACAGACCTGTGGCGGCCTTTTTCTACGAGCGTAATTTGGTACAGGCCATGGTGTTTCTGTTGGCATTGGCCAAATATGATTTTGAGTAAAATCATTGGTCGAGGCTTTGATCGAGGCCATTACTGTCCAATAGAAATAGAACACAAGTCAGATCCGTAATTTGAAATTTTCCCATAGTCTCATTAGAAAAGGAAATAGGTGAAGTTATTTTTAATAACATACTTAATCCACTGTATCCCCATATTAATTCACCACGTCATTCCTATGGCAGTATAGTTGAGGTGGGTATTTGCTAGTCTGTTTTGTCCTACTCAGTCTTTGAAATCTGGTGTCTCATGTAGTGCGCCTCAGGTGGGAGCAGCTGTGCTCCGGCCCCGGCTGCCACATCGGACAGTGCAGCCTGGGCGAGCTCCAGAGCAGCGCACGTGAGGGCTTGCAAGGCCTGTGGGAACAAGTGCACCTGCCCTGCCACCCACACGTGCCTTTCAGTGACTTCAGGCACCTCAGAGAAAGCTGGCTCAGCTCCAACGCCCAGGGAGATGCAGCCGCCGGCTGGGTTATACTGCAGGGCAGGGCCGGGGCTCAGCGGGCACATGGGGGGAAGGGTGGCAGTAGCAGGCCACACGTGCACGCTGCCCCACAGGGTGCTGGACAGCAGGGGTAGGTGGCGTGGAGGTGACTGCAGTGGAGAAAGGCATGACCCAGTGGGGGTGACTGAAAAGGTGGGGTGCCAAGAAGCAAGCTCATGTCACCTGTCAGAGCCTACGCTCACTGGGGGCTGCCTCCGTGCAGCCCTGCCAGGGACTGTGAGGCCTGGGTGGGATCAGAGGCCACTCGGCGCCTCCTTCCTGCCTGGACCAGCTCTGTCACCCACCCCTGTCTTTGGTGCCACAGGAGCTGGATGGCCTGTTGGAAATCAACCGCATGACCCACAAGCTGCTGAGCCGGTACCTGACGCTGGACGGCTTCGACGCCATGTTCCGGGAGGCCAACCACAACGTGTCAGCGCCCTACGGGAGGATCACCCTGCACGTCTTCTGGGAGCTCAACTATGACTTCCTGCCCAACTACTGCTACAACGGCTCTACCAACCGGTGAGCGTGCCCGCCACACAGGCGCCCACAGGCGAGGCGCTCAGGGACCCATGTCCCCGCAGGCTTCCTCCATGTCACCAGGTCCCTGTCTCCCTGCTCTTGCTGCTCCCCATCACTTCTCACATGAAGAGCACGCAGGCCCTCCAGTGTCTTCTGTGTGCACAGGCAGCCTCGGGTCTACCCTCGGGTGGATGGTCATGGCTTTGCACGTGGGGCTTGCGTGGGGCTGCATCTCCTGGCTTTCTGTTTGCCTGATGGTGGAAGTGGGGTGAGTCTGCTTCTTATGCTTCCGTGCTGGCATGTTGGAGTGTGGGGAAGCCACCCTCCCACCCACCGCCCATGGACAGCATGAAGTGATGTGATTGGTGGTGAAACGGTGGATGCTGGCAGTATCCTGAGGTTCAGCCTCATAGTAGGGCCTGAGTCCTGGGACAGCCCTGCCCTGGGCTCCGCACACCGGGTGGCGGTCATTCTGGCTGAGGTTCCTTCTCTGCTCACTGAGCTCAGCATCTATACAGTGTCAGCGCGTGCCAGGGACATGTCTGTGTCACCCACCATGCCTTCCCATAGACACCAACAGCCTGGGGGGATGACCAGGGCACCAAGCAAGGTGCCTGGCCACTGAGCTCCATCCAGACGTAGAGGAGTGCAGGTGTGTGCACATGCGAGTGTTAGGAGCACTTTTACAAATAAGTGCTTGTGCTTGCCTCTGATCTCCGCGTCCCACCCACATGTGGCTGAATTCTTACTGACTTGTAGGCCCAGAGTTTTGTGTCTCAGGAGACAGGATGCCGAGCTCTGATGAGAGCTCTGATGAGAGAGAGGAGAGGCGCAGCTGCCCCACGGCCCAGTCCTGCCTGCTGTGGCTGTCGTCTGTTCAGGACCCCTGGGTGCAGGACCGCGTTTCCTGTGGGGCCGTGGGTCAGGCCCAGGTGTGTTGCATCACTGAGGCCATTCTCCAGGGTCATGGCCACGCGCTCTGGGCTGCAGGTGGCAGCACCTGGCTTGGCTTTTCAGCTCAGGGGGCCTCCAGGCCGGGCTGGGAGTGGTCCATGGAAACCAAACCGTGAAGACCACCGTCTCTGTTTAACTCACCTTTATGGTGTCCATTTTCCTCAACATTTTTAAAAGATGTTTATGCTTGGAATTAATTGCAAAAATATTCTTACACAAGTAATATATCAAAATTATAGAAAAATGGGAAATCATGGATACATAGGAGAGAAAAATGAGTGAACTCCCCAGAGGTTTCCTTGGTAAAAATGTATTTGTCCTCTAAAGTGAGGCATGGGCGGCCCTCGGCCTCTCCATCCCGAGTCTGCACCCCTGCAGTACCACATACATCACAGCAGCAGGGAGGGGATGGCCAGGCGCCTCCTTCCCCACACCCCGGGAGGTGACGTGAACACTTCTGTGTGCAGATCAGCACGGTGCACCCAGTGCCATGCGTGCAGCTGCTCAGAGCCATCTGCTGGGGCCTTACACCCAGGTAGCTGCACTCGTCCCCACTGTGGGCGGCAGGAGGCCCCTGGACCCATGGGGGACCCTGGACACAGGCAGGCTGGTTCCATCTTATCTGGAAACCAATTTCATGTGTGTCACCTGTTTCCCCAAGAGACCCAGAGCTGCTGCCTCGGGCCATACCTGTTGGGCAGAGGTCAGCATGCAGTGACCTCAGCCTCCTGGTGCCTGGGGACACTTGAGGTGTGATTCACAGGGAACCCTAGCTTGTCACAGGGGCATTTTCTGCAGAAGAGCTCCGGTTTACTCAGCAACCTCCACCTTCCGTGAGTGTTGGTAGAAGCCATTGTGTCTGCATTTCCCACAAGTCTTTGGTGGAATCAGGAGAGCTGTGTTATCTGGGAAAGGCATTTTAAAACAGGATTTTGCGTATCCAAGTTCTGTGTCGAATCCTGAGAAGACACATAAACCATGCTACCCGGAATTTTAGTCCCATGCCTGAGGGTTTTCTGAGAGCTACATGGCACAAGCCAGGACTTTGCTCGTTGCCTGGCCTAACTTCCGGTTAGTGAGCTACGTGTGGTGGCTCTAGGAGGTGACCTAGGTGGTCTGCGACTGGAATTTAACCTGTACAGTGGGTAAATGTGTGACAGTGCTGCAGCTCTGGAAAGAAGCTGGCAGAAGGGTATTTCCTCAGTCCAGAGTTAGGCCTCTTTTCCAGAAGACCATAGATGGAGGGCGTGTCCTCAGCGGGGCGCACCTGGAGCCCAAGGCGGCAACTGTCCCCTCACTGCTCATGGTGACTTCTGTCCCTGGGGTGAGGTGGTGGCTGCCAGGTGTTCCCACTGTCATGTTACCATTTTTCTGTTTAAAAGTTATAATTTGTAGGGAGATAATTTGAGATGATGTAAACAAACTCCCTCATTAAAATTTGTCCCGGTCGTTTTAACATCTGTCGACGATTCCTGTCCGAATCAGTTATCTTCACACTGGTGGTTGAACAGCAGTGAGTTGTTTTTTTGGTTTTTTTTTTTGTTTTTTTGTGACAGAGTCTTACTCTGTTGCCCAGGCTGGAGTGCAGTGGTGTGATCTTGGCTCATTGCAGCCTCTGCCTTCCGAGTTCAAGCGATTCTCCTGCCTCAGCCTCCGGAGTAGCTGGGATTACAGATGCATGCCACCATGCCTGGCTAATTTTTATAATTTTAATAGAGACAGGGTTTCACTATGTTGGCCAGGCTGATCTCAAACTCCTGACCTGAGATGATCTGCCCGCCTCGGCTACCCAAAGTGCTGGGATTACAGGTATGAGCCACCGTGCCCAGCTGAGTTTTAACTCCTTCATTCCCTCTGCAGGTACTAGCTGGAATTCTGCTGTACGTGGTAGCATTTGTTTATTATTTGCTTATTTGTACTAAGGATTATCCATTACTGTGGAGTTTTGAGGCTGGGGTGGGTGCGGTTTGGGCAGTGGGAGCTGCCTGCTTGGTTTCAGTCTCCTGGGGCCGTCTCCACCATTCTTTCTGCACCACAAGATGTTCCAGGCTCGGCCAGGCACGGTGGCTCATGCCTGTAATCCCAGCACTTTGGGAGGCCGAGGCGGGCAGATCCTGAGGTAGGAGACCAAGACCATTCTGGCTAACACGGTGAAACCCTGTCTCTACTAAAACAATACAAAAAAATTAGCTGGGTGTGGTGGCGGGCGCCTGCAGTCCCAGCTACTTGGGAGGCTGAGGCAGGAGAATGGCGTGAACCCGGGCAGCGGAGGTTGCAGTGAGCCGAGATTGCACCACTGCACTCCACCCTGGGCGACAGAGTGAGACTCCGTCTCAAAAAAAAAAAAAAAAAGAACAGAAATTTATTCTCTTACGGTTCTGGAGTCCAGAAGTCTGGAATCAAGGTGTCAGCAGGACCACGCCCCCTCTGAGACACTGGGTAGAGCTGTTACTTCTGGCGGTGACCTCAGTTCTGGGTGTTCTTGGCTTGCAGTGGCATCACTCCAGTCTCCTCTCTGTCTTCACTTGCCACTGTCCCTGTGTGTCTCTGTCTCTTCTCTTCTCGCAAGGACTTCAGTCATATTGGGTCAAGGACCTACCCTGCTACTCCAGTATGACCTTGTCTTAGCCAGACACATATGTGGTGACCCTCTTTCCAGCAGACTTCACATTCTGAGGTACTAGGAGTGAGGATTGAACATATCTTTTTCGACGGAGTCTCGTTCTGCCACCCAGGCTGGAGTGCAGTTGTACAGTCTCGGCTCACTGCAACCTCCAGTAGGTTCAAGCGATTCTCCTGCCACAGCCTCCTGAGCAGCTGGGATTACAGGTGCCTGCCACCATGCCCGGCTAATTTTTGTATTTTTAGTAGAAATGGGGTTTCACCATGTTAGCCAGGCTGGTCTTGAATTCCCAACCTCAGGTGATCCACCTGCCTCAGCCTTCCAAAGTGCTGGGATTACACGCATGAGCCACTGCACCTGGACGAACATACTGTTTTCAGAGACAGTACAACCCATAGCCCACATGTGCATGTGTATTAGTCCATTTTCACACTGCCGATAAAGACATACCTGAGGCTGGGCGATTTACAAAAGAAAGAGGTTTAATGGACTTATGGTTCTACATAGCTGGCGAGGCCTCACAATCATGGCGGAAGGTGAGAGGGATGTCTCACATGGCAGCAGACGAGAGAGAGCTTGTGCAGGGAAACTCACCTTTTAAAACCATGAGATGTCATGAGACTCACTCACAATCATGAAAAAAGCATGGGAAAGACCTGCCCCCATTATTCAGTTACCTCCTAACGAGTCCCACTCATGAGACGTGGGAATTATGGGAGTTATAATTCAAGATGAGATTTGGGTGGGGACACAGCCAAACCATATCAATGTGCATGTTTATTTCTATATAGTTACCTACGTATTAAAACTATAAGTTTATACTGATATTTCCAATTCCATTTCAGCACTGCAGAGTTCATTCTAGTCTTCTCTCTTTCCCTTTTTCTGACTTCATTAAACACTGAGGATCCTTGCTTCATTATTCTTAGTATATTACTCATTTGCTCATTTCCAAAAAAACACAGAAAGTAGTTTCAGAATTGCTAATCCTGGCTGGGTGCAGTGGCTCACACCTGTAATCCTAGCACTTTGAGAGGCCAAGGCAGGAAGATCTCTTGAGTCCAGGAGTTCAAGACCAGCCTAGGCAACATAAGGAGACCTCGTCTCTACAAATTTTTTTTTTTTTTTAGACAGAGTCTCATGCTGTCACCCAGGCTGGAGTGCAGTGGCACAGTCTCGGCTCACTGCAACCTCTGCCTCCCGGATTCAAGCAATTCCCCTGCCTTAGCCTCCCGATTAGCTGGACTATAGTCGCCCGCCACCACGCCCGGCTAATTTTTTGTATTTTTAGTAGAGACGGGGTTTCACCATTTTAGCCAGGATGGTCTTGATCTCCTGACCTCATAATCCGCCCACCTCAGCCTCCCAAAGTGCTGGGATTACAGGCATGAGCCACCGTGCCTGGTCTACAAAAAGGTTTTTAAAATTAGCTGGGTATGGTAGCACACCCCTGTAGTCTCAGCTACTTGGAAGGCTGACATGGGAGGATCACTTGAGCCTGGGGAGGTCTAGGCTGTAGTGAGCTGTGATCATGCCGCTGCACGCCCGCCTGAGTGACAAAGCAAGACCTTGTCTCAAAATAAGAAAGAATTGCTCATTTTTACCACCGTAAAACACAAACCTGCCAACTCTAGTTCAATATTTGTTATCAAATTTTTATCTTTAGATTGAGAATATATAGTAAAATATTATGTTTAAAATTCATTAGCCGAGCATGGTGGCACACATCTGTAGTCCCAGCTACTCAGGAGGCCCAGGCAGGAGAATTGCTTGAACCCAGGACATGGAGGTTGCAGTGAGCTGAGATTGTGCCACTGCACTCCCCTGGGTGACAGAGTGAGACTCTGTCTCAAAATAAATAAATAAATAAAATTAAATTAAATTATTTGGAATGATAGAGTAACAGGGTTTAGATTTATTCTTACTCCTTAAGTGAAAAACTGGACAGGACGTATGGATCAGCTGTTTTCAGACTCGGACCTTTTGCTGAGGGGACGGAAGCAAGTGAGGTGAGCCCTGTGATCTCCCTGACTTCCATCTGAAAGCACTTTCTGGACCAAGTTCAGAGAGGAACAGTCCAAGTACAGCTTGGAAGTTCCTGATTGGTAGAGGGGACAAACTGGAACTTGGGGAAGCTGAGGCAGCTGGAATTTGCAGGGTGGCATATGAGAGAGCAGGGACCTTAACAGAAACAGCTCCTGAAACCACATGGGCATCCCATAGCCTTTGCTTGAATACTAAACTGTGCGTGTGCCAGGGAGCTGCTAGCTGAATGATTCTCAGCGTTCACACAAGGCCAGGAGGCTTCTGAGTTCCTACTAGCAAGAAGAATGGAACTCTGTTGAGGCTGGGCACAGTGGCTCACGCCTGTAATCCCAGCACTTTGGGAGGCCAAGACAGGCAAATCACTTGAGGTCAGGAGTTCGAGACCAGCCTGGCCAACATGGTGAAACTCCACCTCTACTAAAAATACAAAAATTAGCCAGGCGTGGTGGCAGGCGACTGTAGTCCCAGCTACTCAGGAGGCTGAGGCGGGAGGATCACTTGAACCCGGGACGTCAAGGCTGCAGTGAGCCAAGAATGCGCGACTGCACTCCAGCCTGGGTGACAGAGACTATCTTTAAAAAACAACACAAACAAAAAAAAAAAACAACCCTGTTGAACACCCAGATGTTCACTAGAGGTGCCAGAGGTACTGAATTATGCCCATCCCTACAAGTGCCAAAAATTCATCATGACAAGATCCAGCAGATTGACAAGTAAGTCAACTGCCTGCCCCCCAAGACATTCAACACTCTCTCTTTTTTTTTTCTCCCTATTCTTGCCATTCTGGATTTCAGTTAGATATATGTTAGTTAGACCTTCTCATTTTATTCTCCACGTCCCTTTGTTGTACTAGTTTTCCTTTTTTTGCGGGGACAGAGTTTTGCTCTTGTTGCCCAGGCTAGAGTGTAACAGTGTGATCTCGGCTCACTGCAACTTCTGCCTCCTGGGTTCAAGTGATTCTCCTGCCTCAGCCTCCCGAGTACCTGAGATTACAGGCATGTGCCACCACGCCTGGCTAACTTTTGTATTTTTAGTAGACATGGGGTTTCACCATGTTGGCCAGGCTGGTCTCAAACTCCTGACCTCAGGTTCAGGTGATCCACCTGCCTCGGCCTCCCAAAGTGCTGGGATTACAGCCGTGAGCCACCTCGCCCGGCCAACACTCTTTAAAAGACAGTAACAAAGTCAAGACATGCAACATGGCACTGAAATGCCCAGTGCCCAATCAAGAATTACTAGATATGCCAAGAACCAGGAAAATGTGACCCATAGCCCAGAGAAAAATCACTCTGTACAAAACAGACGCAGAAATGACAGAGATGATGGAATTCGCAGACAAGGATGTTAAGGCAGCGACTATGCATGTGCTCAAGGATTCAGGGAAAACAATGCAGAGATAAATGGGTGTTATATAAATAATCCAGTGAATTAAAGCTGAAATGCAGTATCTAGAATGAAAAATTACTTGTTGGGCCGAATATCAGAGTAGACTTTGCGGGAGTTGAGTGAGTTTGAGATTATAACAGTGGAAACTAGCTGAACTGAAGCACCAAAAGAAAAAAATGATGAAAAAAACGAGAAGGGCCTCAGCAAACTGAGACAAACATCAGCGATTCTAATATGCCTGTGATTGGAATCCTAGTAAGAGGTTGTCGGGGGGCAGAAAAGATTTCAAAATTAATGCCCTTGAATTTCCCAGATTTGATGAAAACGATAAACCCACAGATACAAGAAGCTCAATAAACCTCAAGCAGGATCGACACAAAGGAAAAGAGCCACTGTTGGGCCTAGCACTGACCAGGTCAAAATAAGGCTGGAGCTGAACCTCAGTGTACCCGAGGCAACGTGCAGTGGGGGCTTAGGATATTGGTGCTGAAACTTAGTTTTCCTCTTAGGGGATTGCAGTGACATTGTCAAACTGCAGAGTCTGAGGGCACAGTCCTCCACAAGACTGCCTTTGCTGCAGACACCAGCCACACATTTGGGGTCCCTGGGGCCACCCTCACTTCTAACCAGCAGGTTACAGTTCAGGATCCACCCTCCCCAGCTCTTCAGGTGACACATTCGCAGTACTCACTGGGCGTGCCCTAATACGATTATAGTCAATTGGAGGAAAGGATGCTTGTTGGAAGGATGTGCAGGGCAAAGTCTGGGAGGTTTCCATGTGCAAAGCTTTCCCTGTCCTCAGGGACGCATCACCCTCCGAGCTCTGAGGTGGGACGCTCCTCAGGGTACTGCCAGCCAGGGGCGCTCACTTGGGCTGTGGTGTTCAGTTTTTATTGGGGCTTCGTTGCATGGGCACAGTTGACTGAATCACTGGCCACGTAGCTGAGCTCAGCCTCCAGCCCTTCACCTCCCAGGAAGTCAGCTGAGTTCACCAGGCACACAGCCCCAGGCCTCTAACCCCATGCTGTCTTTCTGGTGTGGCCAGCCCCATGTTGAGTCATCTTGCTAGCATAAAGTCAGGTGTGGCCCCGTGATACCAGTCATTCCTGTCACTCAGAAATGAGGGTGTAGAGACTGCCTCCTAGAACTGGGCCAGAGGCCACCAAATCCTACCCAGGAGTCAATCAGTATCTAAACTTGATAAATCAAGAAGAAGTTGTAGAAATGTATTATTTAGAAATATAGAGGCCGAGCGTAGTGGCTCACACCTGTAATACCGGCACTTTGGGAGGCCAAGGCAGGCAGATTGTTTGAGCCCAGGAGTTCGAGACCAGCCTGGCCAACGTGGCAAGACCCTGTCTCTACAAAAAATACAAAAATTAAGGCCAAGCACAATGGCTTACGCCTGTAATCCCAGCACTTTGGGAGGCCGAGGCAGACAGATCACGAGGTCAGGAGATCGAGACCATCCTGGCTAACACAGTGAAACCCCATCTCTACTAAAAATACAAAAAGTTAGCTGGGCTTGGTGGCGGGCGCCTGTAGTCCCAGCTACTTGGGAGGCTGAGGCAGGAGAATGGCCTGAACCTGGGAGGCGGAGCTTACAGTGAGCCAAGATCACGCCACTGCACTCCAGCCTGGGCGACAGAGCAAGACTCTGTCTAAAAAAAAAAAAAAAAATTAGCCAGGCATGGTGACCTGTAGTCCCAGATACTCATGAGGCTGAGGTGGGAGGATGACTTGAGTCCAGGAGGTTGAGGCTGCAGTTAGTCAAGATCACACCACTGCACTCCAGTGTGGGTGACAAAAAAAAAAAAAATATATATATATATAAAATATATAATATATACATATAGACTATAAATGTATATATATAATTATATAGAATAAATACATGTATTATGTTATGTATCATATATATGTATTTTGATTAAAATTTTAAATAATATTATAAAGAGTAATTGCATTACTTCAACAGTTCTGTATCTGAGTTATATCATAGACAAAATAAATTAAGGCCTGCTTTCTAAATTTAACCATCATTTTAAACATTCTAAGCAGGGAAAACATTGTGTTCTAAGCAGACATAGTAGTAAAGCCTCCTCTAGGCCGGGCGTGGTGGCTCATGCCTGTAATCCCAGCACTTCGGGAGGCCAAGGTGGGCGGATCACTTGAAGTCAGGAGTTCAAGACCAGCCTGACCAAAATGGAGAAACCCTGTCTCTACTAAAAATACAAAATTAGCCAAGCGTTGGTGGCACATGCCTGTAATCCCAGCTACTCGGGAGGCTGAGGCAGGAGAATCGTTTGAATCCGGAAGGCGGAGGTTGTGGTGAGCCAAGATCACACCACAGCACTCCAGCCTGGGCATCAAGAGCAAAACTCCATCTCAGAAAAAAAAAAAAAAAAAAAAAAAAAAGAAAAGTCTGCTGTAATATAAGTGGCATCATATCCTGGCGCTTGGCTCCCTGCATGGATTTTTACTCTGATTTTCCATTTGTTGTCTTCTCCCGCACCCCGCCGTCACCATTGTAGGTGGACGGAGGCTGACGTGTGTGCCGTAGCTTTGCAGGTGTGTCACCATCGGAGGTGGACAGAGGTTGATGAGTGTGCCGTGGCTTTGCAGGTGTGCTGCTGTCAAGGGTGTGAGCAGTGCCCAGGAATCTCTGGGAAATGGGGTTCCCTTTTCTGAGCATCACCCTGACCGTAGCGCCTCCTGATGGAATGTACTTCCTGGAACGGGTGTTAAGAACACAGGCGCAGGGACACACAGACATGCACACATCCTGTTGCAGACACATCTGCAGATAACACATCTCCATACATGGACTCACGCAGATGCAGGTGCACAGAGACATGCAGACAGACATGCATGCCAAGCACTGAGGACTGTGGCACCCAGGGATATTGGCATACTGACAGCACAGGGATTTAGGATCCGTTTGGAAAGGCATACCCAGAAGTACTGCGGTAGGTGGTCAGGGGGCCTAGTGGCTGCTCCTCTGTGCAGCACGTCCTCTCAGATGCACACATTGTGTGGGACAGCAGTATTTTCACAATTACATCTGTTTCCATTTCCTGAAGTGGAATATGAGTTAATCAAGTGCTTGGAATTACATAATTAGCAAATCCACAAAATTGTCTTTCTTATACTTCTTTGCAAAAGTTTTATGTGTTTAAACGAACCCTTCCAATTTGAAAGGCTTAGCTGAGTTTGATGTTTCTGCATGAAAATGGACACATTCGATTTTAAGTGTCCCCTAATCCATTATCAAGACACAATCTCTTGACTAATTGAGTGGGTTACAAATACCTAAGTGTCCCTGTCCTTCCCTGCTGGTGTGTAACTTGTGATCTGAACCACCGGGGCGTCGCCGTTCTCGTCACAGGCAGCTGCCCCACCGTCCTCGCCGTGTCTGGAAGCGCAGCAGAGCCCACGAGCTACCTGAGGATTGCGTTGGGCTCGAGGCGGCTCTGGTACAGCAGACCAGACCCCGGGTGTTCCTGCTGTGGCCCCTGAGCTTTGGGTGCATTTATTATATTTGAGTATTGAGATCTCATTCGTTCTATGGTTTTCGATTCACTAGAATTTTCCTATTTGATGATTGTATCAGTTGACTGGGAGGAAGATTTAGTAGATGGATTATGGAGGACTTCTGAATTTTAAAGAACTATTGTTAAATTTGGTTTCTTTTTCTTTTTTAAATCTTTCTTGTTTAGGTTTGTTCGGACAGTGTTACCATTTTCTCAGGAATTTCAAAGAGATAAGCAGCCTAATGCACAGCCTCAGTATCTGCATGGATCCAAGGTAGGCTCCAATGTGTTCGTGTTACGAGCTTGAAGCTCATAATGAAGCATGTTTTGAAGTGTAGTTTAATTGGTTTGGTTGCAGTGACCTAAATGTATCACGCTGTGTATAAAATGTTATTTTTTTTTTCCATTCTGTTAACATCTTCCTGAAAAGTAGCAGTAATTTAAAACAAAAACTAGCCAACCAACCCAAAACAGTGCTTATCTAGAACTAGCGCGTACGTAGTGTTGGGACAGCTCTGGCCTTGTGATAGGTGTCAGGCTGGGCCTGGTCTCTTTCCCAGCACAAACACAAGTGAGATTGTTGGAAGATTACAGGTTTAAAAACATCAAGCTGAGAAGACAAGTGGAAGAGGCTCAGGTGCATTCCTGAGATAAGGAGGCCCAGGGTGGCTGTAAGGCCTGACCGGAGGAGCGGAGCTGGAAAGGTGAGCCCAGGGAAGGTCTGACATCCAGAAACAAGGATGTCCGCCTGTGCCTGGAGGGTGGAAACCCGGAGCACCCGGGTCTACCATGTGTGAGATAGGATGATGTCCACGCTGGGGGTGGCTTGGCTTGTCACAAGTCTGAGTATTATTAAGGGCTAGTTTCTTCACGTTTCAAGCACCCGTGTGATTTAGTAAGGAAAATATAAACATTGTAGCAACGAAGAGAGATGAAATGAGCAGATACCCCACAAAAATAGAGCAGAGCAAATACAAGCAGATCCCCAGCCTCAGCGGAGCTGGGGAAGGAACAATGATGGCGGCAAGAGCCAGCAGGCCCCCAGGATGAGGCCAGAGGATCCGGCTCGCCTGTGAAGAGCGAAAGCGTCTTCCCTCTGCGAGCTGCGGTGTCCCCGGGCTCTGCGGTGGGGGCAGGCTGCCAGCACTCATCAGTATTTAAGTGTCCTCGCTTGTAGGAAGCGGGGACAATCACAGGACATTGTCTGCCCCATCTGCCCAATGCCTGGAGCTGGGATGGAGAGGGCCCAGGCCCTGCCGCTCACACGCTGCCTGCACCTGGACGCTTTCTAACGCACCAGCTGGCTCTGAGTGGCGGAAACAATGTTTTCCACTCATTCCTTTCTAACCCTCTGTTCTTCAGAGCGAGATCTTCTCACTCCAGTCCTTTGGGCGTCTTCCTTCTCCTTACAGGGCAGTGCCTTGGACCTGGCAGGAGCGCAAGTGTTTGCACCTGGGAAACGGCAAACACCCAAATCAGGGCATTGGTTTTTGGAGGGCCCAAGCCTCGGCATACGCTGCCCGTCTCTCCCGCCCCTGAAAAGAGCGAGTGTGGGCCGGGGGCGGCCTTTTTACGGCACTCAGAGCATCTCTGAGCAGGAGAGACAGGTCGTCTGAACTGTGTGCAGTGATGAAGGGGATGTGAGATTCCTCTTCGGGAAACGGGGCCCACGTGGACCAAGGGTGACTGTGTAAACATTATGTCCTTGAAAATATGTTCTTTTTATTTTTTATTTTTTTGAGATGGAGTCTCACTTTGTCGCCCAGGCTGGAGGGCAGTGGCATGATCTCGGCTCACTGCAGCCTCCGCCTCCTGGGTTCAAGTGATCCTCCTGCCTCAACCTCCCGAGTAGCTGGGATTACAGGTGTGCAACACCATGCCTGGCTAATTTTTGTATTTTTGGTAGAGACGGGGTTTCACCATGTTGGCCAGGCTGGTCTCCAACTCCTGACCTCAGGTGATCTGCCCGCATCGGCCTCCCAAAGTGCTCGGATTACAGGTGTGAGCCACTGCGCCTGGCCATCTTTAGTGTTTTAGGGGTTATTTTTTTTAGCAATGTTATGATGGCAATTGAAAAAAATACAATTCAGATCCTCTCTAGGGTGCAGATGTTTGAAGGAAGTGGGTTCTTGCCTTTCACAAAGACAAGGTTAAAGGTGGGGGTGGGAGGTGGCATTGCCTGCCTTGGGGAGAAAAATGTCAGGGCTGGGAGCCTCGCTGACACATGAGGGCCAGGGTCGCCAATGCCTGGAGAACATGGGACAGGCTCATTCCATCATTCCACACTCCGCGTTCTCGAGGCTGTTGGCAGGTGCGGCCTCCGCTGTGCCCCTCCACCCTGTCTCTGTTCGTGTTCTCGAGGCTGTTGGCAGGTGCGGCCTCCGCTGTGCCCCTCCACCCTGTCTCTGTTCGTGTTCTCGAGGCTGTTGGCAGGTGCGGCCTCCGCTGTGCCCCTCCACCCTGTCTCTGTTCGTGTTCTCGAGGCTGTTGGCAGGTGCGGCCTCCGCTGTGCCCCTCCACCCTGTCTCTGTTCTTAGCAACTCCTAATGGCTGTGGAACTGTGAGTGGACACACAGTTCGTGTGATTCTGGGCTTCATGTGGCTGTGTTGGTGCCCCAGGAGGGCATCCAGACAGGTACCCAGGCGCCAAGAATGCAGTGACCGGGCCTCTCCTCTGTGGGGCAGGGTGGGGTGCACGCCTGGGCAGGGGTGCGCCACAGCTGTTACGGGGCTCCCCCTCACTTCCCGAAGCCCTGTGAGTGGTTAAGAATTCACCTCCATTCTGCTCCATGTGATACTCCCATGTTCTTTCTAGCAAGGATTGAAGTTGACTTTTCTTTTTTTTTTTTTTTTTGAGATGGAGTCTCCTCTATCACCTAGGATGGAGTGCAGGGCACAATCTCGGCTTACTGCAACCTCCACCTCCTGGGTTCAAACAATTCTCCTGCCTCAGCCTCCCAAATAGCTGGGATTAAAGGCGCCTGCCACCATGCCCGGACAATTTTTTGTATTTTTTTTTTTTTTAGTAGAGATGGGGTTTCACCATGTTGGCCAGGTTGGTTTTGAACTCCTGACCTCAAATGATCCGCCCACCTTGGCCTCCCGAAGTGTTGGAATTACAGGCATGAGCCAATGGTGGTGCCCAGTTGAAGCTGACTTTTATGCAATAATTAGTTATACTCAAAAGGATGTTTCTTTAAAGGATTAGAGTAAGTGTTCTGAGGCTTCTGCTTCTGAAAGTAAAATGTAGTGTTTTACCTTTAGAACTGAAGGAAATGTTATTTTAGAAGATAGGACTAGAAAGTTTGGCGAGTGAGAATAATTTCTTGGGTCTCTGTGAACTAAAAGATTTGCTCTGGGCTTCTCTTGACTTTGAAATTTTTAATCCCTGTTTTAGGCATAACAATAAAGTAGGTTTTTGTCACTCCCTGATAGAGAGGCATTTGTGCGCAGAGGGCACTGGGCAGAGAGGCTCCTCTGTCACCCCCATCTGGAGAGGATGGCTGTGGAAGCGAGGGAGGCAGGCGGGGGGTAGGCAGGCGACCCGACTGCGTGGGGCCGTGCACCTGCGGTTCTGATGGATCGAGTCCTGGAAGGGGCCTCGTGGGGTTGGTTTTTGAGATCCCAGGATAGCACTGTGGTGACATCTTTGCTGCCCAGTGTGTCTGTGTGCCCTTTGTGGTGTTAAAGGCTCTTGACACACGTTTTTATTCTCCAGGATTTTCTCCCAGGAGTGCAGGGAGGCACTGTTGCTTCCATTAAGATGCCAACATGAGCGCGCTGTTCCAGGGTGGTGGTGCGGGGTGCACATTTGCCTTGAGTCAGCCCCTACACTGCCAGAGCACCCTGCTGCCCTGTGTGCATGGGCACCACCTCAGGGATGGCTCCAGGGAATGGGCACTTGGAGGCATTTGCAAAGCTGATGCTCTTTTGGAGAGAAAGAAAGATTTGATGATGTGAATTTGATTTTTTTTTAAATTCAACTATTTGCAACTGAACTTGAACCTCACTGTAAGAGATTTCTGCCTCCGTTTCAGAAACTGTTTGTGTCGTTTTTGTTAAAACCTAAGCTAGTACATGGTTTTTCTTTTTGTTTTTTGTTTTTTTTGTGTGTTTTTTTTTTTTGAGACAGAGTCTGTCCCCTAGGCTGGAGTACAGTGGTGTGATCTTGCCTCACTGCAACCTCCAGTGATTATTGTGATTCCAGTGATTCGTGTGCCTCAGCCTCCCGAGTAGCTGGGATTACAGGAGTGTGCCACCACGCCTGGCCAATTTTTGTATTTTTAGTCGAGACAGGGTTTCACCATGTTAGCCAGGCTGGTCTCGAACTCCTGACCTCAAATGATCCACCTGCTTCAGCCTCCCAAAGTGCTGGGATAAAGGCGTGAGCCACTGTGCCTGGCCATAAACCAGTAATTTTTTTTTTTTTTGAGACAGGGTTTTTGCTTTGTCACCCATTGCTGGATTGCAGTGGCGCAATCACAGTTCACTGAAACCTCCGCCTCCCAGGCTCAAGCAATCCTCCTGCCTCAGCCTCCCAAGTGGCTGGGACTACAGGCATGCACCACCACATCTGGCTAATTTTTGTGTTTTTTGTAGAGATGGGATTTCACCATGTTGCACAGGCTGGTCGCGAACTCCTGAGCTCAATCAGATCTCCTGCCTGGGCCTCCCAAAGTGCTGGGATGTAGCCGTGAGCCACCGTGCCTAGTCCTAAACCAGTAATTTTCTATTAGATTATTTAGACATATACAAGTGACACTGATGTTGACCACCACCCACTCAAGAAGAGGCTGGATACTAAAAGAGATGATGTCTGAGCTGAGTCATGTGCTCACAGCAGACAGCCCTTGTACTCACAAGCACTCACATATGCCACGTGCACTTGCTTCTGCTGCAGTATGAGTCACAGTGTATATCTGTGTGATTATGGAATACACAGGAATCCACTCAAAAAACAGATTAGTGCTTTTTTTATGAATAGTGAACTAGGGCTGGTATCTTGCAGGAATAAAATAAACTTAGATGAGGGACCCATTTATGCAATGTTATCTTTTTCGTTCTTGGTCATGTCACCACTTACAGCATGCCTGCTTCTCAGTAAGACACCCTTTTGAGCACATTAACTAGTATTCTTTATCTCATAAGTAAGATTGTCCCCATTTCACAGATGAAGGCTCAGAGTGTCGTGAAAGTTAGAGCACCCAAGTTGCACGACTGGCGAGTCCAGAGCCGGCTCTGTGTGCTGTGACCCACCTTCTCTGCTTGTCGAACAAGGCTGGAGACTGTATCAGGCACGGGCAGCAGAGTCTGTCTTGAACTGAGCTGTGTGACTGGACATCCAGAGTGCTTCCTCTTCTGAGCTTAAGTCTTTTACAGCACAGTGTTTGTGACGGTGCCCTTCCCCAGAAGTAGTGCCTCCTCCCACTCCCCTGAGTAGTTAAGTCACATCTGCTGTTTGTTACCCTAGCTGTGTTGTCTCTCGGATGTGTCATCTTTGGGGTGAGCTTAGTCTACTGGGAAACCGGACACTGGGCAGGGGGCCAGAGGCCTGGGACCATGTGTTCATTGAGTGATGCCTCCTCTGACAGCTGTCATCCTGAGCCAGTCAGGGCGGGTCTGAGAATGAATTCTCTCACTTGTAACATGAGGTCATTAGATTTCACTGATGACTTTCGTGTTCTTCTTTTCAAACATTGAACCTGTTATCAACCAAAAATATTACACAGAATCCCAGCACATAAAGCCCAGGGTGCTGCTCTGAGGAGAGGCTGGGAGGAGGGGGTGTGGGCGAAGATGTGTAGATGGTTTCTTCAAGGTTGCAGCGGGCCGCAGGGCTTGGGCCTGGGACAGACACTGGGTGGGGTTTCTGTCCTTCAGTGTTGTCTAATCTCGTCACTGTAATCAGTTTTGGCTCTTTGTTTTGGGGGGTCTCATGACCCTCTACACATCTGATAATTCACTAGAAGGACTCACATAACTCAGAGTCTTACAGCTGCAGTTTATTCCAGCAAAGGGGTACAAAGCAGGATCAGTAATGGAAGCAGACAGATCAGGCGGAGGCTGAAGAAAGCAGGAGTGGCTGTATTAATATAAGATAAAATCAACTTCAGAGCAAAGAATATTGCCAGGGAGATTACATAATAATAAGTCAAACCACCACGAAGAAAACATAGCAATGCTAGATGTTTATGCGTCAAACAACAAGGCTTCTGTACTTGAAGGAAAGACTAATAGAAGTAAAGGAGAAGTGAACAATCCCACAGTTACAGTTGGGGACTTCAACTCTCATTTTAGTAATTGACAGAACAAGTAGACACAAAATCAGCAACAGTAGAAAAGAACTGAACACCACCATCGACCAACAGGATCTAACTGACGTGTGTAGGTTCCTCTACCCCACAACAGCAGAATATATACGTTTTTCAGATTCCCATGAAACATTCACCAAGATAGACCATACGCTGGGCCATAAAACTCACCTCAACAAAATTTAAAGAACTGAAATCCTATGGAGAGTGTTCTCCAACTACAATGAACTCAAACCAGAAACCAATAATAAAAAGATAACCAGAAAATCTCTATATGCTCGGAAATTAGCACACTTTTAAATAATCCTTGGGTTGAAGAGGAAATCTCAAGAGAAATTTAAAAATACATTGAATTGAATGAAATGTAAATATATCAAGATTTGATATATACAGCTAAAGAAGTGATTTATTTGATTTGATTATTCGATTTATTTATTTGATTTATTTGGTATACAGCTAAAGTGCTGAGAGGGAAATTTATAGCACTGAATACTCACAGTAGGGGTCTCCTGCTATCTGCACCCGTGTCCTTAGACAAGCTGAGGGGTGTCCTTCTGCAGGAACCACCTTGATATGTTTTGGCTCTATGTCCACACCCAAATCTCATCTGAAATTGTAATCCTCATAACCCCCATGAGTCAAGGGAGGGACCTGGTGGGAGGTGATTGGATCATGGGGGTGACGATGTTCTCATGATAGTGAGTTCTCACGAGATCTGATGGTTTTATAAGGGGTTCTTCCCCCTTGCTCTCTCTTCTCATTCCTGCCACCTTGTGAAGAAGGTGCCTGCTCCCCCTTCACCTTCCGCCATGATTGAAGTTTTCTGAGGCCTCCCCAGCCATGTGGAACTATGAGTCAGTTAAACCTCTTTCCTTTATAAATTATCCAGTCTCAGGTATTTATTTTTAGCAGGGTGAAAATGGACTAATACAGTAAATTGGTACTGGTAGAGTGGAGTACTGCTATAAAGATACCTGAAAATGTGGAAGTGACTTTGGAACTGGGTAACAGGCAGAGGTTGGAACAGTTCGGAGGGCTCCAAAGAAGGCGGGAAGATGTGGGAAAGTTTGGAACTCTCTAGAGACTTGTTGAATGTTTTTTGTTTGTTTGTTTGTTTTTTGAAATGGAGTCTCACCCTGTTGCCCAGGCTGGAGTGCAATGGCGCAATCTCAGCTCACTGCAACCTCCGCCTCCCAGGTTCAAATAATTCTCCTGCCTCAGCCTCCCAAGTAGCTGGGATTACAGGTGCCCACCACCATGCCCAGTTAATTTTTTTGTATTTTTAGTAGAGACAGAGTTTCACCGTGTTGGCCAGGCTGTTCTCAAACTCCTGACCTTGTGATCCACCCACCTCGGCCTCCCAACGTGCTAGGATTACAGGCGTGAGCCACCACGCCCTGCCTGTTGAATGGTTTTGACCAAAATGCTGATGGTGCTATGGACAATAAAGTGCAGGCTAACTAAGGTGGTCTCAGATGGAATTGAGGAGCTTGTTGGGAACTGGAGCAAAGGTCACTTTTACTACACTTTAGCCAAGAGACTAGCAGCATTTTGCCCCGCCCTAGAGATACGTGGTACATTGAACTTGAGAGAGATCTGAAATTGGAGTTTGTTTAAAAGGGAAGCAGAGTATAAAAGTTTGGAAAATTTGCAGCCTGAGGATGTGATGGAAAAGAAAAACCCATTTTCTGGAGAGGAATTCAAGCTGGCTGCAGAAATTTTGAATGTCAATCACCAAGACAATGGGGAAAATGTCTCCAGGACATGTACGAGGCAGCCCCTCCCATCATAAACCCAGAGGCCTAGGAGGGAAAAATGGTTTTCTTGGCTGGGCCCAGGGCCTGCCCTGCCCCTATGGTTCCCCCTCCCCCACCTCCCCACCCCACCCCCCATCCCCGTGCAGCTTCAGGACTTGGTGCCCTGCATCCCTGCTTCCTGGTCGCTAAAAGGGGCCAACATACAGCTCAGGCTGTTGCTTCAGAGGGTGCAAGCCCCAAGCCTTGGTGGCTTCCGCGTGGTGTTGGACCACCTAGATTTCAAAGGACATGTGGAAATGCCTGAATGTCCATGCAGAGGTTTGCTGTGGGGGTGGAGCCATCATGGAGAACCTCTGCTAGGGCAGTGAGGAAGGGAAATGGGGGGTTGGAGCCCCACACACAGAGTCCCCACTGGAATACTGCCTAGTGGAGCTGTAAAAAGAGGGCCACCCTCCTCCAGACCCCAGTCAGCTTGTACTGTGTACCTGGAAAAGCCACAGACACTCAATGCCAGCCTGTGAAAACAGCCAGGAGGGGGACTGTACCCTGCAAAGCCACAGGGTGGAGCTGCCCAAGACTGTGGGAGCCCACATCTTACATCAGTGTGACCTGGATGAGAGACACGGAGTCAAAGGAGATTATTTTAAAGCTTTAAGATTTAATGACTGCCCCACTGGACTTTGGGCTTCCATGGGGCCTGGAGCCCCTTTGTTTTGGCCAGTCTCTCCCATTTGCAATGGGAGCATTTATCCAATGCCTGTACCCCTATTGTATCTAGGAAGTAACTAACTTGTTTTTTATTATATAGGCTCATAGGTGGAAGGGACTTGACTTGTCTCAGATGAGACTTTGGACTTGGACTTTTGAATTAATGCTGGAATGAGTTAAGACTTTGGGGCACTGTTGGGAAAGCATGATTGAGATTTGGGAGGGGCCAGGGGCAGAATGATAAGGTTTGGCTGTGTCCCCCACCCAAATCTCATCTCCACTTGTAATCCCCATTATGCCCACATGTCAAGGGTGGGAGCTGGTGGGAGTTGACTGGTTCATGGGGGCAGTTTTCCACATGCTGTTCTTGTGATAGTGAGTGAGTTCTCACGAGATCTGATGGTTTTATAAGGGGCTTCGCCTTTTGTTCTCTCTTATCTTTCCTGCCTTCTTGTGAAGAAGGTGCTTGCTTCCCCTTTACCTTCTGCATAACTGTAAGTTTTCTGAGGCCTCCCCAGCCATGTGGAACTGTGAGTCAGTTAAACCTGCCTTTTTTTTTTTTTTTTTTTTTGAGATGAAGTCTCGTTCTGTCACCCGGGCTGGAGTGCAGTGGCGCGATCTCGGCTCACTGCAAGCTCCACATCCCAGGTTCATGCCATTCTCCTGCCTCAGCCTCCCGAGTAGCTGGGACTACAGGCACCTGCCACCACGCCCGGCTAATTTTTTGTATATTTAGTAGAGACGGGGTTTCACCGTGTTAGCCAGGATGGTCTCCATCTCCTGACCTTGTGATCTGCCCACCTCGGCCTCCCAAAGGGCTGGGATTACAGGTGTGAGTCGCCGCGCCTGGCCTAAACCTGCTTTTTTTTAAAATAAATTATGCAGTCTTGGGTATTTCTCTATAGCAGTGTGAAAACGGACTAATACACACCCTAACTACCTTCCTCGCCTTCCCACTCCACAGGGGTCTCTCTCCCGGCTCCGGGGGTGCCCTGTGCATCCTGAGAAGGCAGCTCCCCCGGCCCCTTCAGGGTCCGACCTTGGGCATCCTGCTGGGAGACTGGGAGGCAGGGGGAAACTCTGGGTCGTATTCATTTCTCATTCTAGACTTCAAAATGGCTTCTAGCGAGTCGGCTATTCAACAAATGTTGAAACACCAAATGGTTTTCTTTTCTTTTCTATTTTAGCAGGTTTCTTTTTGGTGGCAGGCTAAGTAGGTTTTGTAACTGTACCAGTTAAGGGCAGTAGATTTTACAAGTCAGTAGACTCAGACCCGCTCACCTGAGCCTGTGTGTGTTGAGTGATCTTCTCACACAGTTCTTCATCTGCACATGTGTGCGGGGACCATGCTGAGAGCTCTGTGCCCTGTTTTCCAGGCTTTGAACTTGGCCTACTCCAGCATTTACGGCAGCTACCGGAACTTCGTGGGACCTCCACACTTTCAAGTCATCTGCCGGCTTCTCGGCTACCAGGGTATCGCCGTGGTCATGGAGGAGCTGCTGAAGGTCGTCAAGAGCCTGGTGAGTGTTCCCTGGACATGCTTCTTTCACACAGCCTGGATTCCCTGGGGCACCCATGCCAGAGGGTCTTCTCTGCCTGGACTGTGATTCTCCAACAGCTGGATTCGTTCAATTAGGCTTCAAACATTTCTGACCATATATAGTTTGATACTTCCCTCATCTTTTCAAACTCAAGAGAATGGGTCCAGGTTATTTTAACTGATACGCAGAGTTTTTATTTGTATGTGTAGAGAGGGGGTCTTGCTATGTTGCTCAGGCTGTCCTTGAACTCCTGGGCTCCAGAGATCTGCCCATCTTGGCCTCCCAAAGTGCTGGGGTTACAGGCGTGAGCCACCTTGGCCAGCCTGGATTTAGTTTTCTAGACATAACTTACTTTTTATAATTTTTCATCCTTTTTATTATTTTAATCTTCTGTGACTTGAGACCATGTAAGAGTTTGGTCACTTGGCACAGCCATCAGCCCGTGACCCAAACAGGTCCTTCCAGGACCCGCTGGGGACTCTGTCCCAAAACATGTGGCAGCTTGGAGGGTGTTAGGATTGCTGACCTCACCACAGCTGAGCCTGGGGCCGCACCCAGGAGCACAGACAGCGTCCTGGGGGACCCTGGAGCTGGCAGTGCTCACGATGCTGGGGTGCATCCCCATAGGAGACACCTGGCGACAAAGCTCTCCCCTCATTGTGGCACCCCGGGACCACTTTCATCTTGAAAGAGGAGTCCAGTTTCAGAACATGAATTCAGTCATGGGAAGCCACCTGGTGATGGTTGCTCTCTCTCCCGGGGTGGATTTTATTCCCCAGCCAGACGATCCTGCAGCCTTGCTGGTTACCGAGCTCTTTGCTAACAGACTTGTTTCAGGGTATGCGCCGGCCACAGGCGTTAGCAGAGCGGAGTGGGGTGGCTGACGCAGCCCGTCTCATCTCCCCGGCAGCTGCAAGGCACAATCCTGCAGTACGTGAAGACGCTGATGGAGGTGATGCCCAAGATCTGCCGCCTGCCCCGGCACGAGTACGGCTCTCCTGGTGAGTGCGGGCGTGTGGAGCTCACAGTGCTGTCTGTGGAGAGGTCAGAAAGGAATTCAAGTCAGAAATTCTTGAGAAGGATTAGATTTGCCATGTGGGAAGAGGCAGTAGACAGACAAATGCACCTTACAACCAGGAAGAGGTGTGTTGGGGTCACTGTCTGCAGGCGAGGAAGCAGAGGTCAGCCTGCAAGAGTTGAGACAAGAGACCCCTGAACACCACGCTCTCGGGCACCCCTACGAAAGAATTGCCACCCAATGAGGCGAGAGAGCCGACTGCTGGGTCCTGCTGCCCTGCTGGGCCTATAGGGACTTGAGGCTCAGAGACAGGCCCACCGAGATGGTGCAAGGCCTGCCCCTGCCCCCAGGCCGTCCCATCCATCTGCAGGTCCAGCTGCAGGGCCCTCAGGCAGGTGTGCTCTTAGGGACAGGCCCACGTGACTTGCTGTGGGTTGGTTTGGGGCAATGCAAATAAATAGCTTTAGTGATCTCAGAAAGCATTGTCTCATAAAATTGTATGACAGGGACCTTTGTCACGTAACAAAACTGCTTTTAGTCTCTTACCTGGCCGAGTTTTCTTGAAAGCTGGACAGTTGAACACTAGCCTTGTGTTGTAAAGCGACTTGAGCCTGCACGTGGGTGACCGACGAGGCACTGTCCTGATGGGCAGTCAGTCAGCGTGGCTGAGCTCTTGAACACGTGGCTCAGGACTTTTTGCTTTTTGGCAACTCCCCAGGGCTGTTGCTGGTGTTTGAGGAGACGATAAGGTGTCCCCCTCAGCCACCATGGGGAAGTAGCCATCAGCACGGCCCTGGCTCAAGAGAATCTGTTTTCAGTTTATTGTCAGAAAGTAGAGGAGGAATGCTGGGATGATTAAAACCAATGCTTATGTCGTGACTAGAGATGGAAATTTCAGATGTTGAGGAGGGAGCCATTTCCCAGTGTGGTACAGGGAAAGCTTGCTGGGAATGACACAGGTGCATGAGCGTCCCCGCCCCCACCCCCGCCAAGTGGGGCTGAGTCCCTGCAGCGGTGCTGAGAGCTGGGAGGAGCAGAGGGGCCGTGTCGGGCCGCTGGTCCTTGGGGAAGGGGCACTCGGGCAAGACCTGCTGGGACAAGGGTTTAAGGTCTGCTGAGCCTCCCGCTTTGCTCTTCCCAGGGTAGTTTAGGCCCCTCCTGATGCCACGTTCATTGTGCGGTCAGCTGCCGGTTTCTGTCTGGGCTGGAGTTGAAGCTGTAGATTGGCTGGGAAACGTTGGCCTTCTGTCCCATATTTGCACCTTGCGTCTTTTTGTGCCTTATTCCGCTGTCCGGGATGCCGTTGAGACGCCTGCCTTGCTCTGGAGCTGGCCTGGTGTGCGGCCTCCCGTTGGGCGTGCTGTTAGTTAGCTGCAGGCTTCCTAGATGCCCTTTCTCAGATTAGGTGCGGCCCCTTCCATGCCTGCGAAGAGAGATTGCATTTTGTCAAATACCTTGTCTGCCCCCACTGGGGATGTGGTGCAGTCTTTGTTCTTGTCATGTGGTGACGTTTCCTATCATCATAGCCTTCCCTAAAGATATGAGGTTGAGTTGAAAAGAGGCTTCAGAGCCAAGGCCCGGGGTCACATGGTGTGTGGAGAACGTGCCCAGGTGGCGAATAAACCACCGCTGCAGGGAAGATGCTGGGGATGGGACGTTGTGGCTGTCCTTATAGCCAGGCTTGATGGCGGTGTCAGAACGGCAGGTGCTCCTGGCTGTGGACCCAGGCTGCTAGGGCCCGGCCCCCTCCAGTCCCCCAACCCCACCTCACTCCCGCCACCGTAGGTATCCTGGAGTTCTTCCACCACCAGCTGAAGGACATCGTGGAGTACGCAGAGCTGAAGACGGTGTGCTTCCAGAACCTGCGGGAGGTGGGGAACGCCATCCTCTTCTGCCTGCTCATCGAGCAGAGCCTGGTGAGTGGCCCCCCAACGCCGCCCCTCCCCGCCCCAGCCCACCCCACCCCACCCCACCGGCCAGGGGAGGGCTTTCTTTGGCGGGTTCTTTAGTGGGGGTGTGGCAACAGCTGTGCATCATTTTTTTTTTTTTGTGGCTGTTGAGACTTTAGTTTGAATTTGTTCCCTTCAATTGAAAAACAAAAATGTACTGTAGTTCACTGTCTCAAGAATGTTTTTCTGTGTTAACGTCATAAAACTGTTATATTATGTGATGTTTTCAACATCTAAATGAACATATTTGGTGTGCCTGTAAGGTATAAGGCATTGCTGCGCAGGAGGGCCCTCTGTATGCCTGAGGCCGCTGAGCAGTTGAAGTGTGGCTCAGTGTGACTGAGGAACTGAGTGCTAAATGTTACTGAATTATCACTGATTTAAATCTGAATGGCTGCACGTGCCCCATGGTGGACAGCACGAGTGGCCAGCATGAAAGGGGAGCCCCCGGGAGCCCA